>NW_017852929.1:0-142129 GCF_000001405.40 Homo sapiens
GAATTCACCTACTTGCTAAAATGTATTTGTAACCCCAAAAATCAATACTCGTGGCACCTCCCTGGTCATTCACAGATGTTTGCAGAGCAACAACGACAACAAAAAAATTGAGTCATCGAACGTGCATGTTCCCAGCTGAGGTCAAACCAGGCAACAACGCGCCTTCTCGTTTCAGCCTCGTACTGTCAACAAATGGTCTTTTCATGGTCTATTTAGTGCCATGTTTTTCACATGTCTGTGCTTTGTGTTGGTGACTGTGCTGTTTAGAATGGTCCCCAAGCAAAGTGGTGAAGTGCTATCCAGTGTGCCTTGCAAAGAAAATGCATGGATTAGGGAAATTTTGTTCAGGCACGAGTGGCAGTGCTGTTCGTTGTGAGTTCAATGTTAATGAATCCACGATATATAGTGAGTAAGGTATCTTTAAACAGAAGCACACATAAAACAAGGTTACATATTAATCAGTCGAAGACAATGTTGCAACTTGAGGATCACAGGACCCTAACCCCCTATTCCTCTGGGAACGATGGTTCAGGATTCGCTAATTTGGTGTTCGCAGCAATTTTATAGAACACACCTACTGAGAATAATGGGAATCAACAGTATAGTTCTCTTCCGCTGTCAGAGCTGGTACTCGCCACACCCCAGGAACTATACACAGACTAACACCAGTGGTCTTCACTCCCATAGCCTATATCACACCACCCATGAGACATTGATGGGGTAGGAGGGCGCAGAGGGAGGAAATGTAGCATTGCAATAATCTCACGCTGCTCCAAAAACGGAGGAGAGAATGCAAGCCACACACAAAAACACACACTGTTCCTCTCTCCTTCCCACTTCCAGAATTATAAGAAGGTTTCGTGTTCTCTGAAATTGTTATATTCTGGAAATGTTTCCCAAAAATGAATTACAAACTGGTTAATCACATTAAAAGCTGCCTTCAGCCTGGCGTTTTTGATCATTGTCAAATTTATTTTCCTTCCTTTTCAAAGCCACTCTCCTACTTTGCTTTCAGCTCTAGCTACACAAAGGAGGTGAGAAAATGGAAAGGATTAACGCCACATTGAGTTTTATCCTGGAAAATAAAGATTCTCCTGGAATTTATCACTAAAAAGTCAATAAAATGCAACAAAGCAACCACTCTATAATGACATTACATTATTGCCAAATTGCCAGAGTCCTATAGAAATGGCACCCAAGTCCTAAGCAATTTTTGCAGTTTTACGCCTATAATTTCCATGCAAAAAAAAAAAATCATTTTATGCCAAACTAAGAATAGTTTATGACTACTTTCCTCCTTGTATAAAGAGTTTCTCTTTAAGACACTTTCCTTATTTAGAAAACTTAACCTATGACAAAGTATGGCACTCTATATATGCACTTTTCTATATATATATAATTTCAATTTTAAAAAACTATATATGGGATTAGAAGCCAATTCTTCAATTATAAATTGATCATAAGTAAATTTGCTAAAACAAAAAGCTTTACAATCTAAATGTTCAAGATTTGATAGACTTTCTATGTTGTAATATATTAATTTGAATTTTCAAAACTAACAAATAATGAAAGTCAGTCGTAGGTGTCATTAATAGCTCAGTTGAAATTTACGCACAAGATTAACAAGACTGAAATCAATTAAAAGAAATTATTTGAAACTGTATTTGTGTGTGTGCGTGATGTGTGTGTAACTATATATGGTCAAAATTAAAGTCCGCTAATTGTTACCTAAAAGTGACCTTAACTATTTTAGGGAACCAAACCAAAAATATTAGAAATACAATTAGGATCACACTAAAAATTTATAAACAACCTCTTCTGTAAGAAAGAAAAGTCAACAAGAACAACGAATAGCTTTCTATATCACAAAGAGAATGTCTCTATTAATTGAAAACACTCAATTTTTGAATGTTTCAATGAATTAATTCAAATTTTGAACAAGTTTAGGGCAATATATATCAACTTAAATTTTAAATAACTCCACAGGTAATTTTAAATAACTCCACAGGTAATTTTAAATATACAGCTCTGGCTAACTCAATACATCTGAAGTCACTTGAATTTATCATAAGCCCAGGAGACTAACAAATGAATATAAGCAGTACAAAAGGGAATTCAACTTAATTCAAATACCATCTGTTCTGTTCTGCTTCTGTAACACAGATGAGCTCATGTTTGATTGGTAAGTAGCAGTGACATCTTATAGCATGGAAGTCACACTGATTCATTTGAGAGTTTCCTAAGCAAAAAAGTGGAGGGAGTGAAATGAAAATCTTAGGCAAGAAAAGGAAAAAAAAAAAAACTGTCACCTAACTTGGCCTTAGCAAGAAGCTGTATTTTAAGAACAAAGCAACCACCCTATAATGACATTAAATCATTGCCAAATTGTCAGAGCCCTTTAGAAATGGCACCCAAGTCCCAAGCAGTTTTGCAGTTTCATGACTAAAAGTTTCATGCAAAAAATTATTTTATGCCACGCTGTCAAACAGCCTACAGCTGGGTCCCACTCCCCAGACAGCGCACCCACAGCCAGCCAGAGGCTCCCTCAGTTTGGCTACCTGCACTGGCTCCATCAATGGCCACTATCACAGGAGGCCCAGGGCTCAGAGTTCCACTTCTGTGTGCACTGTCTCAACATCCACCGCCCATGTACCAATTCAAGCATTGCCAGGTTTCCATGTTGCTGTTTTTGTTTATTTTATTTTATTTTATTTTATTTTACTTTTGAGATGGAGTCTCACTCTGTCACCCAGGCTAGAGTGCAATGGCGCGATCTCGGCTCACTGCAACCTCCGCCTCCCAGGTTCAAGAGATTCTCTTGCCTCAGCCTCCCGAGTAGCTGGGATTACAGGCATGCGCCACCATGTCCGGCTAATTTTTGTATTTTTAGTAGAGACGGGGTTTCACCATGTTGGCCAGGCTGGTCTTGAACTGCTGACCTCAGGTGATCCACCCACCTCAGCCTCCTAAAGTGCTGGGATTACAGGCGTGAGCCACCGCAGGCGGACTGTTTTTTTGTATATTTTAGTATCCATTTTAGCAACATCCAGCCACACTGAGATGCCTGCTTGGGTGGTCCAGATAATCTCTTAAGGTAGCAATTATGGTTTTTGCTAGTAGTTACCAAGTTGCAATGATTTTGAGAGACCAGCTATAATCTTACTTTTCCCACAAGACACTTATTATTTTTAGTGTATTGTTGTGCAGAATGTATGGTTTTTCAGGGACATAAATTTTCCATCACAGCAGAAACACCAGTGAGTATTTATCAAGTGCCTACTTCCTATGCACAGGCAATGGACTAGGTACTCGAAGTTAAATTTAAGGACCTAAAAGAATATGTTTTCTTAAAGATCTCAACTTAGCCACGGGGGCCTGGGGGAGATGAGAATTGCGCACTTAGCATTAGTTTGCTAGGGCTGCCATAACAAAGTACCATCTGCTCAGTGGCTTAAACAACAGAAATGTATCGTCTCACAGTTCTGAAGTCTAGAAGCCTGAGATCAGTGCCTGAGCCTGGAGAAAACCCAGATGTCCAGCTGCTTTTTTGGCCCTAGGGTCACATTTGCTGAAAGGAGTCCTTTTAGAGTCTGGAGGATGAGGGCTGGAGTCCTTTAACTTCCAAGAATGGGGTCCTGGGGCATTACCTATCAGTGTGGGCTAACCTTCAAAGGGGCAGCACCTTGAGGGTACAAGTTCAGACAGCAGCCCAGCTTCACCTCAGCTGAGTGACCAAGAAAATCTCAAACCTTGGTCTACTGTGAACAACTTTCACCTACAAATGACCAGGACGCCTAAATCATGGGGTAAACCACCAACCAGGCTCCAGGTGGCCACCTGGTAAAATACAGACAGGTAACAAATAGCACTGCAAAGGTTTTGAAAACAAGTGACATTGAAACCACAACCCGCAAAAGGCTAGTTAGAACAGAACACATGCCCTGAGCTCAACTAGGTCAATGCCTGCTAAACAAATGCGTCAATATTCTCCACAGTATTTACACAAGACACAGAGTCTCAGAACATAATAACCAAAATGTCAAGGATAAAATCCAAAATTACTCAGCATATAAAGAACCAGCGAAATTGCAACTCACATGGGAGGAAAAGATATGCCATGCAAACACTAATCATAAGAAAGCCTGAATGGCTATATTAATATTCAACTTCAGAGAAAGAAAAGTGTGGGAGATAAAGAAAGACAGTACATAATAATAAAAGGGTCAATTCACCAAGAAGATATAACAATCCTATATGTGTTTGTACCTAACAATAGAGCATCAAAATACATAAAGCAAAAACTGACAGAATTGAAAGAGGCAAATCTAAAATTACAGCTGGAGACGTAAAAACTCTAATCAGCAATTGACAGAGCTAGTAGACAGAGTCAGCAAGGATATATATAGAAGAACTGAACACCATTAACTAACGGGATCAAACTGACATTTATAGAATACTCCATTCAACCACAACAGTGTACATATTCTTTTCAAGTACAAAATGGAACATTTATAATAGAAATCGTAGCAAACTGAAAGGGACTAGAGTCATACGATGTATGTTCCTGACCATAATGGAATTAAACTAGAAAGCAATGTGAAAAAATAACAGGAAAATCTTCAAACACTTGGATAGTAGACATCACACTTCTAAATAATCCATGGGTGACAGGGAAGGTCTCAAAGGAAATTAGAGAATATTTTGAACTGAAAGAAAAAAAAAAAAGTTTGTGAGATTCAGCTAAACTTAGAATGAAATTTATAAGATTAAATGTTTTTATTAGAAAAGAAAAAAGTTGCAAATCAGGCATCTAAGCTTCTACCTTAAGAAATTTTAAAAGGAAAGCAGAATGAACCATTGCAATCATAAACTCTAACTTGAGCTTCACTGAGTACCAAAAAGAGGGGAGAGAGAGGGAATGAGGCAAAAACAACAGTGAAAGAGGTCACGGCTCCGAATTTTCAACAGTGATTGCAGTGGCTTGAATGTGCACCCCAAGGAGTAAATGTTGGAAACTTCATCTTCAATGCAACTGTGCTGGGAGGTGGACCTCATGGGAGATATTTAGGTCATGAAGGCTCTACTCGCATGAATGGATTGATGACATTAAAAAAGGGCTCGAGGCTGTGAGTTCAATCTCTTGCTCTCTCTCTCACACATGTTCTCTTGCCCTTCCATCTTTCACTATGGAATGACGCCACAAGAAGGCCCTTGCCAGATGCTAGCACCCTGATATTGGACTACCCAGCCTCGAGAACTGTAAGAAATAAACTTCTTTTATTTATAAGTTACCCAGCCTGTGGTATTGTGTTATAGCAACACAAAACAAAGACAGTAATGAATGGCTTCGAAGACAGTAATGCACTTCAAAAAGCCCAAACAGGATAAATGAAAAGAAATACACACCTGGTTACTTCACAGTGAAACTGCAGAAAGTGAAATACAAAGATAAAAATATTGAATGCAGCCACAGAAAAAGGAAAGATTACTTTCCAAGTACGAGTGACCAACTTCTGAAATGCCACAGTGAAGATTTGAAGACAGAAATATCTTCAAGAAAATAACTGCTAACCTAGAATTCTCTACCCAGCAAAAATAGCTTTTAAGAATCAAGAGAAAAATGAAGATCTTTTTCAACAGACAAAACCCAAGTTAGCCACCAGCAAAATTTTCACTGTCAACATCAAGAACTGCTTTTATTGAAAACACATAAAACGGAGAAAAAAATCCCAATTAGTAAATTATTATAAAGTAATTCTACAATAAAGCTAAATTTGCTATAAGAATAAACAAAATCATCTACACCCTTCTCCTTATTTCAGGAGTTAAATCTGATCCTCACATTTTAAATCTAACAGATAATTACCTAATTTTCTGGTAAGGTAAAGAAACTGAGATGGAAGCAGGGGAGACGATAAGATTTTAACCCCAAAATGAGCATTTTCCTATGGGCATTACAAAAGGTAACTGAGTTAGAAGGACCTCTGTTTATGAACATGTTAACTGGCTGGGAGGGAAAAAAAATGACTCTAATCAAAGAGAGAGAAGTATGCATATAATAACAAAAGACAGAATGGTCTCACAGTGTAAAGAGAACTTTTTTCAATTTGACAAGATCATGCCTATGATATCGAACAGTGCATTTTCTCATTTTCATCACTAATTGACTCATATTTCTTCCCCATTGCAACAAACCTTAGCTCCGTATTCACAAGCCCTCTGCTTGGAGCTTCATTGACAAAGAACAGCAGCATACAAAATAGCACCACAGTGCACTGAGAAATGTCACCAAACACTAAGCTATGGGGCAACTAAAACTGGACAGATTTATATTTGTTCTATGTCTGGTCAAGGGAAACTGCAGAATTTAGCTGAATAATACACTATTTCCATTCAGACACATGTTAGTGACTTTCGGCCCTCTGATCATCTTCCCTCCTCATTAAATTATAAGATCCTTTAAGGAGGTTACTCTGCATCATTCACTGAAAACAACATTTAATAAGCGCTTTGTGCCAGGCCCTGGAATGGAAATGATTGAGATCCCTCCTTTCATCTTTGGCAGCAGCAAAGACAAGGAAATAAATAATGTGAATAGCGTTATGAAGACACTGTGATGGGAAGACAAGAAGGAGTAACTAGGGAGTAGATCATTCTATAGAAAGAACATGTGTAAAGACATGTTTGAGAGGCAGAATGCATTCAGGGAAATGTGTTTCTATGGAAGGTTTGGTTCAGGAACAAGAGGAGACTAGAGCCCGATGAGAAAAGGTCTTCTATGCAATGTTAAGGAATTTGGACTTTGCCCTGGAGGCAATGAGGAGCCAAACACTACTACTTTTTTTTTTTTTTTTTTTGGAAAGCTATAAACTCTGGCACGGGAGTAGAAAATGAGAAGGAATGGAGAGAGGCAGGAGGCAGGAAGTTGACCTCTTTGGTGGCTGTTTCAATAGTCGAGGGAGGTTTTACATTGCTTTGCTGTCACTCCACAGTATCTAACACAGGGTCTAACACATAAAAGAGAACAGTAACACTGAACTGAATTGATTCTAAGAAGAAAATACCTAATTTCTTACAGAGTGGTTTATCTGCTTTCTAAGGTCCGTGCAGTAATTCCTTTCCCAGGATAGGGGGGGAAATGCCATTATCATGTACACGCTGGCAAGACCACTGCTGTGGTTTGGTCTGTCCCCACCAAAACTCATGTTAAAATTTGATCCCCACTGTGGCAGCGGTGGGAGGTGGGGCCTATGGGCCTACTGGGAGGTGTCTGGGTCATGGGGGTGGAGCTCTCATGAATAGATTAATGCCTTCCCACGGGAGTGAGTTCTCACTCTCACGGAATGGATTCATTCCCAAGAGGGTGGGTTGTTCAGAAGAGTCTGGCTTCCTTGGTTTCTCTCTCTGGCCATGTGGTTTCTTTGCACACATCATTTCCACTTCTGTTTTCCAACATGAGTTAAAACAGTCTAAGGCCCTCCCCAGATGCAAATGCTCAGTCCTGAACTTTCCAACCCCCAGAATCATGTGCTAAATAAACCTCTTTACTTTATAAACTATCCAGTTTCAGGTATTCTGATACAGCAACTCTAAACGAACTAGGACAGCCACCAGTGCCTTTCACAGCATTCCAAATATACAGTCAAATCCCCGGAGAATCCTGGTTCTCACAGGTTTTTTGTGTGTGTTCATCTTATCACATTTACAGTAATCTTAAAACCTTTAGTGGGAAAAGTTAAAAAAAAAAAAAAAAAAGCTGCAAAGCAAAATGCTCTGACCCCAGAATGCCAAATATATACTTTTAACAATATAAACTAAGCAAAAGGAAAGATGTTGTACTCTACCTAGTAAGAAAGTAAGAACGCATCCAGCAGTTAATTTCAATTTAAAAACGCCATTCCGGCCCTGCCCAATGGCTCACGCCTGTAATCCTAGTACTTCGGGAGGCCGAGGAGTGTGGATTTCCTGAGGTCAGGAATTAGAGGCCAGCCTGGCCAACATGGTGAAACCCCGTCTCTATTAAAAATACAAAAATTAGCTGGGCATGGTGGCGGGCGCCTATAATCCCAGCTACTCAGAAGGCTGAGGCAGGAGAATCGCTTTAACCTGGGGACAGAGGTTGCAGCGAGCCAAGATCGCACCACTTCATTCCAGCCTGGGCAACAGAGCAAAACTCCATCTTGAAAAATAAACAAAAATAAAAAAATAAAAATAAAAATGCAGTTCAGAATTCTCAGCCCAACATCACAGAAATATATATCCAGCTTTCCCAGGAGACTAAAGCAGATTTATTTGAATAAATTTTGTATCTTTGTTAAAACAACAGTTATCAACTCATAGTCATAGCTTATAAGTTAATACTGGAAACATTCTATCAACAGTCAAACTGAGACTTAAAACAGAAGACTAGAGAAGGAAGATTTCATGATGTGAAGTGAAGAGATGAAATTTAGACATATACATCTTACAAAGCAACAAGAATATTCAGAGTCAAAGAGAGATACAATAATTCTTACCAAATTTTAAATCCAAAGCCGAGAAAGAGTGTTTCAGAGATAAGCAAGGTGGAGAAAAGAACACTATACATAATGAAGTGATTTTGAGACTTTTCTTAAATGGAGGAAAAGGTGACCAATTTTTAAATGCATTCGATAAGTTTTCCAGCCATCTCTTCATTTTAGAACTGAATCCAGTTTTCTGGGAGGCTACCAATGAACTTGGTTCTTGATAAGGAACAAAACTATTATTAAGTTCTGAAGAAATATGGGGGGGTAGGGAATAGTGAAAGGAATGTCCCATCCCCGGCCTGGGCAACATGGCAAAATCCCATCTCTACAAAAAAATACAGAAATTAGCTGGGTGCAGTGGTGTGTGCCTGTAGTCCCAGCTACTCAGGAGGCTGAGGTGGGAGGATCACTTGAGCCCAGGAGCTCGAGGCTGTAGTGAGCTATGATTGCACCACTGCACTCCAGCATGGGTGATAGAACAAGACCCTGTCTCAAAAAGAACAACAACAAAAAAGAATGTTCCATTCATGTAACATGCAGTTTCTACTAATTTTAAAACTGAGCTACAGTGTTCCTGGCTCATATTTGGAGCAGAGATTTAAACAGCAAAAAAATACCCTACCAGAGACATGCACAATTAAATTTCAAACTGAAACACAATAAATAGATTTAATTTATTGCCCAATGTGTAATCACTTTTCGTAAATGGAGGTGGGAATTCCACATCTAAAGGTCTAGACATTTTAATCTCACCCTCAAGGGAAAAAAATGATACACACGGCCGGGCATGGTGGCTCACGCCTGTAATCCCAGCACTTCGGGAGGCCGAGGCAGGCGGATCGCCTGAGGTCAGGAGTTGGAAACCAGCCTGGCCACTGTAGTGAAACCCCATCTCTACTGAAAACACAAAAATTAGCCAGGCGTGGTGGTGTGCGCCTGTAAGCTATTGGGAAGGCTGAGGCAGGAGAATCATTTGAACAGGGAGGCGGAGGTTGCAGTGAGCCGAGATTGTGCCATTGCACTCCAGCCTGGGCGACAGAGCACGACCACGTCTCAAAAAAAAAAAAAAAGATACATACAAAACAAGGGAATAATTTCATTTTTCTTATTTTGCATTTCCATGTCTAGGCACATTCAAAGACTTTTAATGTGATATTATGATGCACATTTGAAATTTTCAAAGACAAGGCATTGTATATTGGCTACCCTTTTATATGGGCATACTAGGATTACACATTTTGATTCCACTTAAATTTGTACTATATATAAAAGATAGGTAAAATAGGATCCTATACATAGTAACATGGAATTTTTATATTTTTATACATTCTAAAATCTCCCTAATATTATGATGAAATTATTTCAATATTTTGTTGTTCTTTGTACATATTAATATCCTACGCATCTGTCTCTAAAGAGTTTTGAAAGAGAATTTATCCACTCAATAGTTAAAATGGTTAAAATGGCAAATTTTATAATGTGTATTTTGCCAAATTTACAAAATGAATAACTGAATATACCCAAAACCACTGATATTTACACTTTAAAGGGGCAAATTATATGGTATGTGAATTCTATCTTAATATAGCTGTTTAAAAAAACTTACAGAGCCCTCTTCCAGAAAAGCTGCCTTGTCAACACTTTGATTACTCATTATGTGAAAATACAAATATTGTTGATTCTGTGTCAAACGGATGATTCAGAAGAGATGGACACTGACTGTGAAGAAATGTTAAGAATTCCTTAATCTATTTTTCTTATACTTTTAAATTATGTATATACAAGAATAACACATGCAAAAAATCTATACTTAAATAAGTGGCTCTTTCAATGTTATAAGTAAAGGTTATAGATAATTAGAAAGCATCAACATTATTTGATTCATAGCATTTTTTCTCTTTTGGTGGTGCACGTAATTGTAAATCTTACAACTGCATTTTTTTGGTTTTTTTGTTTTTTTGTTTTTGAGACACAGTCTCACTCCGTCACCCAGGCTGGAGTACAGCAGTGCGTCTCCAGGGCTCAAGCGATCCTCCCACCTCAGCCTCCCAAGTAGCTGAGACCACAGGTGCGTGCCATCATGCCTGGCTTATTTTTCTATCTTTAGGGGAAATAGGTTCTCACTATGTTGCCCAGGCTGGTTTCAAACTCCTGAGTCAAGCGATCCACCCACCTCAGCCTCCCAAAGTACTGAGATTACACGTATGAGCCACCACACCCGGTTACAATCAATTTTTTTTCTTTTTTGGTGGCACATGTAATTGTACATCTTACAATCAATGTGGTTTCAGATTCTGAGTTGAGACTTAGCAAAAAGGAGGAAGAAATAGAGACATGGAGCTTCTAATCTCTAAACACCTATGTATACACCACTCCCAGCACTGTATACATACGCCTGTGTTCATACACATGTGGCCCTTTTCCTAAGCCTCCTGTGAAATCAAACACATTTTCATTCCAATAAAGCAATTTCTGGAAAGTTATAAAAGACACCGGGGAAAGGTATTTAAAATGAATACCATTTTGCTAATTAACTGTGTTTACTATTACAATTACTAAAATAAATGTACTCCCCTTATGTGACGGTATGACAAAGCAGGAATCTGATGGACATATTATGTCAATTACTCATTTGAATCCATGACTCAGAGTATTTTAAATATACATATGGAAACCAGAGTCTTTTCATAACCAGACTCTACAAACAAGAAATGTGTGCCAAGACGTGACAAACACAATCTTAAAAAGCTTCACAGATTTAAATCTTCCATTTAAAGCACAACTTATTTTATCAATGCTTTTATGTAATCCCCAAAATACAGCAACACTGAGTTTAAAATTCCAAAGATGTTTTCTGGTTTCAATGATGGAAATTGCTTGTCCTGTCTACAATAAACACACACAGTAGGACACAAAACTTCAAAGAGAAAATTCATATATTGATGGAGACAATTTTTGAAATTTTCTTGTCATATATGAAAAGCAATTTGTGATGGATATCTCCGGGCCACAACTTTTTTTTTTTTTTTTTTGAGATGGAGTCTCAGTCTGTCACCCAGGCTAGAATGCAGTGGTGCGATCTCAGCTCACTGCAGCCTCTGCCTCCCGGGTTCAAGCAATTCTCGTGCCTCAGCCTCCCAAGGGATTACATGCGTGCGTCACCACGCCTGGGTAATTTTTGTATTTTTAGTAGAGATGGGGTTTCACAATGTTGGCCAGGCTGGTCTAGAACTCCTGACCTCAAGTGATCCGCCTGCCTCGGCCTCCCAAAGTGCTGCGATTATGGGCATGAACCATGGTGCCCCGCCGGGACACATAACTTTTCAACTGGAAGAAAAGTATTCTAAAACGTTATATTTTTACAATAACTTAAGAATCATTTTGGTCACTATAGAGGTAACATATGCTCATAGAAATCAGAAGAAATAAATAGTAATAAAAGTATCCATGATCTCACTACCCAGCTATAACTGCTATTACTACTTTTTCCTCTAGAGCCTTTCTGTCTTTATCAGGGAAAGGACAGTGAAATGGCTAAGTGCCTGGTTCTGGAGCCTCACTCCCAGGTTGAAACCCCCCTCTTCCACTTACTAACCCACGTGATCTTGGGCAAGAGTCAAAATCTCTATGCATCATCTGTAAAATAGGAATAGTAGTAATACCTACTTGATCGGATTTTTAATGTAATTATCCTGCCCATACGGTTTTGCTACCTGCCACTGTCACTTAATAGAATGTGTGAACGGTTTCCATGTCATTAGATATTCTCACATAAAATGTTTAAGGGCTGCAATTATTCCGATACATGGCTGTTCCATAATGTATTAAGATCCCTAGTGCTAGGCATTTAAACTGCTTCCAATTTTCTGCTATTATACAACAAGCAGTTATATGAGGAGAGTAGGAATGATTGGAAGCTGGGGATCCCACATTACAGTGGCAATGACAGCAATAGGGGCTTCACGCAGACCAGGCTGTTTGCCTATGACCAGGATGCTGGTTTCCTGGTCACCCAAGCTACCTTGCTTCTTGCTTTTTCCCAAGTTTGGTGCCCAGCCACTGGCTCTTCTAGGCGCTCCTAGCAGCCTTCCAATTAATTTTCTTAAGCCTAAATGAGCCAAAGTCAGTTTCTGTTGCCTGTAACCAAAACACCCTTCTGATAGAAAAGATAATCATTCTCTTCTATATATATCCCATTAATTTCAAAATGGACTCAACAAGAACCTGTGATACACACACAGGTGTACACATGCACATGCACGTGAATAAGCTACACAACCAACCTTCACAATCTGCCACATCCCAAGAAGCAGCCAGTGAAACTAGACAGCTACAATGCAAAGCGCAAATTCTCTCTGAAAGAAAGACATTTTTATCACAACGAAAATTCCACTGTGAGAGTCTTCATGCACTTACGAGCTTGAGATGCTATACTTTCACTAATGCAAAATTATATAGAATACATAAGCTACAGAAAGGCTAATCTTTCTCGAAGGAAAAAAAATCAATTACACATTATACCCAAACACAAACACTAAAACAACAACCACTACTACTAATTACTAACAATTACACACTACTCTATACTATATGCCAGGTACTGTTGTAAACCCTTTTCATGTTAATCTTCTAATCTAATTCTTGAAATTAATCTATCATAGGGACTAGTCTTATCCCATGTTATAGGTGAGAAAACTGAGGCATCAGAGAGACTGAGTAGCTTTGCCCAAGATAACACAGCTATTAAAGATTTGAACCCAGGCAATCTAGCTTCAAATCTATGTTCTTTACCACCATATATACTGTTTCTTGATTTTTCTCTTATAATGACAGATTTTTGCATTCTACTCATATATTAAATTTTGGCTGTGTGTGTCACAGAGGGGCCTAAACGGCCAGAGGATATTTATCACACAGTTGGATGAAGACTCTCTATATCGCCTATCCCACTAAGACTACAATTCCAGTCCACAGAGTGACTATCATTCCCCTTCTCCCAACACATTTTGCCAAGTGCTATTCTACTTCCAAGCCTTTGCTCAATCTATTTGCATTACTTAAAATGCCCTCCCAATCCGTCATCCCTTTGCCTATTTCCAACCAATCATGCCAGGCCAAGTTCACATGCCACATCCTACACAAACCTTCCTCAAATCCCTCCAGCTGGAATCAATCTGCCTCTCTCCATACTTCTGTGATTCTCTTCACCATTCCATCTTTCCCTTCCCAATGTAAAATTCTACAAAGCAGGGACTACATCTGGTCAATTCTCCCTTTTTATTTGATATCCTCTATAGTACAGAAAAAGGTTATTGCCAAAAGTAGTTGTTCAATCAACAACTACTGAAGTTAAGAACATTGGGGTGTTAAAGCCTTCTCTGCCAAAATGCAACCCCAAGGAGGCAAACTGGAAAATATCAAAGATTGAGAAAAATTCACCCTATCATGAAACTACTATAAGCCCCCCTGTAAACCTATATCTAAAAACCTATCATTAAGATACACTGTGGTTTGTGAAATTTCAGCATTTATTCCAGTAGGTCCTTTTATGGTCTGAATGTGCACACTGTGTGAAATGAAGGAGGAAATTTTTTGGGAAACTATTTAAAATATTTGGTAAATACTGGGAACACAAGGTCACATGAACTACAAGGAAAAGGCCTGAAACTCGCTAGTACTTTCATAAGCAGTGTGGGTGCTAACTGCAAGCAAGTCAGACAGGTGGCCAGCCTCTGTCTTTAACAATTCCATTGTTGCCGGGAGCAGTGGTGTATGCCTGTAATCCCAACCGCTCAGGAGGCAGAGGCAGGATCGCTTGAGCCTGGGAGTTCAAATCCAGCCTGGGCAATATAGCGAGACCTTGTCTCTTGAAAAAACAGAAAAGAGAATTCCAGTGCCTTCTCCGACCTCTTTTTTTCCCCCTTCAGTTGGTTTTTCCCAAGTGATTTAAGGATTGAATCAAAGCTAAGCAGCTCTTTGCTTGTTTCGTTAGCAGCTCATGACTGCATTAATCACAGGCACTACTGCGGTGAAGATGAAATATTCCTTTTGCATTTTCCCCAAGTAAGTGTGGAAAGATGTAGGAAGAAATCCAAAGGTAGTTATAATTATTAACCAGATGGAAATAACACATCGTAGATTCTGTGATGTTTTTGGTAAAAGTACATTCATGTGTCACCAGAAGGAACAAGATTGAACAAAGATGACTCACTGCCCTTAGCACCTGCATAGCAGACGTAGAGAGTTCCCATCACCTCTGTAGCAAGGGTGTGAAATTGAAATCTACCCTCATTAATTCTTCTGCCACTACAAAGGACCCTCACCATGGGGAGCCTCTTATAGAAAGCATTCTTTTCTGGAAAACTTTGTATATTTCAAAATAACTTAAAGAATATAAGTGGATTATTTGTAACTCAAAGGATAAATGCTTCAGGGGATGGATACTCCATTCTCCACAATGTGCTTATTTCACATTGCCTGCCTGTATCAAAACATCTCATGTACCTCATAAATATATACACCTACTATGTACCCACAAAAATTTTAAAAGATAATAAAATTTTTGTAATTGTCACCAAAAACAAACGAACAAAAAAGACACTGACATTAAGATATTTCTGATTGGGCTTCATTGATTCCTTAAGATCCAGACTCATGAGGAGCTCCTAGAAATCGCTCGGACCTAACACAACTGACAAATGGGAAACAACCATTCTTGAACACAGAGAAAGTTGAGCGTCAACCTCCAGCCATTCTCACTGCAAACGATCTTTCTGTCCTATTTGCAGGGTTACCCTGCACTAAACAGCATACAGTTACAGGAAGCAAGAAATATTAAGCTCCTCCCAGGCTTCTCGGAGCCAGTCCCAGGGTGGTATTAAGTGGCATTCCCGGAGAAAAGAAGTTGCTCTTAATGCAACCTCACACGTGATCGATCTTTTGACCATTAGTAACACCACCAGCATATGGAGACATCTTATTGTTCACCTAAACAGCCAGCCTGTTGGCATATATACACACCTGACCCAGAAACTAGGTGACAAGTATCCCAAACGTGTGAAAAGCATGGAAAGTGAAGTTGCTGACCTAATTTGCCTATGTGAGAACCCTTTCAAAAGTCATTCTTCTTAAAATCTCATTTATAACAGACATCTCTGAACTCACAAGTTTAAGAAAATCCCTTGAAAGTATGCAAAAACCACGAACAGAACAAACCTCATCACACTGTAATGAAATTCACAACCTACTCACAACATAAAGAACACTTGGCCATTGTTGCTGTGCAGAGCCTTAACAACTGGTCCATACCAGGCATTCCCTGTTACGCCCTTGCACTAAAGACTTGCAATTTTGTTTTGATACGGAGTCTCGCTCTGTCGCCCAGGCTGGAGTGCAGTGGCGCGATCTTGGCTCACTGCAACCTCCGCCACCTGGGTTCAAGCAATTCTCAGCCAGGCATGGTGGCTCACGCTTGTAATCCCAGCACTTTGGGAGGCCGAGGCGGGCAGATTACCTAAGGTCAGGGGTTCAAGACCAGCCTGGCAAATATGGTGAAACCCCGTCTCTACTAAAAATACAAAAAAATTAACCGAGCGTGGTGGTGCATGCCTGTAATCCTAGCTACTGGGGAGGCTGAGGCAGGAGGATCGCTTGAACCCAGGAGGTGAAGGTTGCAGTGAGCCAAGATCGCACCACTGCACTCCAGCCTGGGCAATAGAGAGAAACTCTGTCTCAAAAAAAAAAAAAAAAAAAAAAAAGAAAGAAAGAAAGAAAAAAAGAAAAGGACACAGGAGCATTGCCCATTAGATGAGCAGAGCATTTTCCAGAGCCATTTCTTCAATTCCATCACTAGACACACAGCTGCAAGCCTAAAGTAATATGCACACTTTAAATCAAGGAAGAAGTTTAGTAAGAAGGCTCTTAGTAACCTTCTGAGCATAACAGAATGGAATTCAGTATTGACAAGAGTAACAAATTTGTGGCGTGACCGGAAATTTGGAAGAGGTTGAGTTTTCCTAATATGATATTAAGCTAATGCATCGTGTTGAAAGTCATTCTGTACACCCAGAAGTGACATGTTAAGGGAATAGCATGATTCCTGATGTGCAGTTATTTACCCACGTTCTTTCCTCTCCAAGCCTACTCTGCTATACTCTCTCTATAACGCTGGGGCTAGAGTTTCACCAACTTACCTAGGTTTTCCAGACCCCTGTTGACTGACTCCCTGTTAACTTCTGCCAACAGGAAGTCCTAGAGAGAGGATGGAAGATGACAGGAGAGAAAAAGGGACTTCCTTCCTAGTTTCCTATTTCTGTCAGTATGCCACCAGCAGCAGCAGATGGTGGTTCCAGCCCCCATCTTCCGTTGTCACTCTTAGTGCCAGCCTCGCCACACCCCCTCACAGACACCGGCAAGCCGCAGGGCTTAGCCCCAGGTTGTCCTCAGGCTATACTGTGTTCACTCCCTCACTGGCTGGCTCCCAAACGCTGACCAGATGGGAGCCCTCTCAGTTGACTTGGCACCCACCAGGTCACAAACCCTCCCTAGGGGTTCAAACACTCACTGAGCTGCACCCACACCCTCAAACATCTGTACAGCAGTTCTGCAGTGCCTCTCTCGGAGGCCTGGAGACCAGCCCCACAGGAGCCCTGCACCAAGCTCCAAAACTGTGGTAACACCATCTCTTATTTTTCCCCAGCCCTGGAAGTGACAGTGTCTGCACTATCCTAGTACCCCATTTCCTTTGTATTTTGTCAGCCTTTGAACTCGTATATAACCCAATCCTCATATTCAATCTCTTCCATCTGAAATGCCTGGAGTAGTTTGTTTTTCTGACTGGACTCTGAGTGAGTCACCAAAGATAACGAAAAAGCATTTGATAAAATTCGACATCCAAGTATGATTTTTTTAAACTTAATACAAGAAAAAGATATAAATGTTTTCTCCACATGATAAAATATACATATTTCAATTCAAAAGCTAATATCTCGCTTCATGGACAAACATTAAGACACATTTCCATCAAAGCCAAGAGCAAACAAGGACATCCCTCAAACCAGCAACACATAGTACATAGTACACAGACTCCTTTGTACTGTAGAAGAGTGTTGGGATGCACTAATGACTCAACAGAATAAGAAAAAGAGCTAGAAATAAAAAATGAGGTCCTGAAACATTGTTCATTGATATGATTATCAGGAAAATATACTGAAAAACTATTATAAAGAATAAGAATAATTCAGTAAGATAACTGGGAACACAATTAGAATACTGAAAACAACAACCTTTGTATCTACAGGCAATCTTAGTTCACAGATGTGGTAAAGATCTCATTTAAAGCAACAGTGAAAAAAGATAAAATTCCTAGAAATAAACTTTAGAAATAAAACCATATGAAGAAAGTTTTATATATGAAGGGTTGAACAAATGGAGAAACATAACAAGTTCTTGGATAAAAAGATGCAACATAAAATCAGTTCTTTCCAAATTAATCTAGGAATTTAACACAATCCTGTGAAAATATTTATGGAATTTTTCTTGGGGAAGAATCAGGGAACTAGATATCAAGAGCTAGCTCACAGGAAATAAACATAAACAGCCCGTGAATATATGAAAGGACCCTCAACCTCACTCAAGAGAGATGCAGATTAAACCTACAATAAGATGCCATCTCTCACCTATCAGACTGGCAAAAATCCAAGTTTGACAATCTATTGAAAAGATGATGCAGAAACAGACTGGAACAAATGCAAAATGTTACAACACCTACGTAGGGAAGTCCAGCCATATCTATCATATCTTTTTAAATGCATGTGCCGTTTAACTCAGCAATCTTACTCTGGCAATGTCGTCCATAGACAAACTGGCACATGTAAAGAAATGACATGCATGGGGCTACTTAGCACATCACTGAGGAACAAAGGCCTGGAAAAAGCCGAAGTGATCCAGCAACACAGTACTGACTGAGTAAATTCTGGTAAATACACAGCCATGAAAAAGGATGAGAGCGGTCCCCAGGAAAATAGTACATGACAAAAACAATACACAAGTGGTAGACATAGGGTGCCGCCTTTTGTGTAAAAAGGGAGTTAACAAGTATTTTAGCATTTGCTTGTATTTGCATGTTGAGAACCATGGAAGGATCAATAAGAAACTAATAAAATAGCTACCAACTGCAGGTGCAAGACTTACTGAGTACTCCTTTTTATAGCACTTTGATTTTTGAACCAGTTCAATATATTACCCTAGTCAAGAGGTAGTGGTAATAACTAATAAATAAATTTTAAAGGCCAAGAATAATGGAATAAAGGTCAATGATACAAAAAGGCAGTTCAGTGGAAAACCAAATACGAATGACACCTAAAAAGATGTTTATCCAAAATCATAAGAGAAAAACCAATAAACCAAAAAGAGATGGCATGTATCCATCAATTTGTGAAGATCAAGAAATTTGATACTAAGTAGTGTTGATGATGGTATAGAGAAACAGCCACTCTCAGACATTGCTGGTAGGCATATAAACTAAAATAATCTCTATGAAGAGCTATTTAGCAAATTTCAATTTAAATTAATTTTAAATAAATTTATTTTCTTTATAAATTACCCAGTCTATGGTATTCTGTTATGGCACCAGACAATGGACTAAGACAGTAGAGAACACCAAGTCTGTCACTCTATTAAAAACAATGAATAACTGGCAAAAACTGCCAGAATCAACTGTTTCAGAACACTGGGAAATAATCAAAAGCTTACTACAAGCAAGGGAACACCTAATACAAAATAAACAGCTAAGAGAGAGTCATGGAATTTTAATTTACCCTGGTCCCATCCACTCCCCAGTTCAGCAGCAGCCTTGAAGGCAACAGCTAACATTCCAGTACAGGTACCTAGTACCACAGGGAGCAGAACATATCTTATTCTCAAAGAATTGTGGTTGACTGATTTGACCTGTCTAGTGGCTCCCTGAAGAACTGGCTCAAAGGATATGCCTGTCTTTTGCCTAACTCAGAACTCTCCCAGGGCTAAGGTAGATATCAAGGGTAGAAGTGTGGGAGTGGTAGAGGTCTACAGGGGAGGAGAGGTGGGGTGTAGGGGCATGCATTTGTTGAAAACATTTAATGTACTCATTGCTATTACCTGGGGCAAGAGACAAACAATGGACTAATGTAAACACTTGGGAGGAAAGGCTAAGGAATGAGATACTTTAGGGAATATGGGCTTCATTTGAAGAGCTCCTACATATTTTTGTGAATCAAGAAAGTCACATGCATGCCACAACTGGGTGCATGCTCAGAAAAGACCTAAGAGGGCCCTAAGCTCCTACCTCTGGCTGACTTTCAGGATCTTTGCAAACAGGAAGTAAAAACTAAGACAGAGTTGTAAAATGCCTGGCTGCACCTTGAAGGCGTGCCTCACAACATACACACAGCCCATCTGCAAAGACTGGGGGGTTTCTGTTGTTGTTGTTGTCATTCCAGACGTGTAAATAAATCTCTAGTGATTCATCAGCTGACCACTAAGCTAGTGGAAGAGAGGCCTCTGTGGCCACACATGACAAAGGATACAGACTTCACAAAATTAGTTCAGAAAAGTCCTAAATGAACAAGGCATAGCTATAACAAGCAGCAACAATCCACAGGGAGGGGGAGCATCTCATTTCCTAAGTTACCACATTATAATATACAAAAAATCCAGTTTGGAACAAAAAAATTACAAGACATAAACAAAAAACTATGGCCTATACCCAGAAAAAAGAAATTAACAGAAATTGCCCCTGAGGAAGCCTAGTCACTGGACTTACTAGACAAAGACTATTTAAATCAATGGTCCTAAATATGCTTGAAGAGCTAAAAACAAAAACAAAAGCCAGGTCTAAAGAACTAATGGAAACCATGAGAACAGTGTCTCAACAAATACAGAATATCAACAAAGTGACAAAAATTATAAAAAAGCAATCAAATAAAAATTCTGGGTTTGAAAAGTACAATAATGTAAATTAAAAATTCACGAGAGGCTCAACAGCAGATTTGAACAGGTAAAAAATGAAGTCATGAGAATAGATAAACCTGAGAATAGGTAACTTGAGGTTTTCTGGCTTGATGAACAGAAATAAAAAAAAATTTTTTTTAAATAAAGAGAGTCTAAGAAGTCTGTGGAATACCATCTGGCATAACATAAGCATAATAGGAATCCCAGAATGAGAGAAGAGAAAGGAGCAGGAAAATTATTTTTAAAAATAATGACTGCAAGTGTCCCAAACTTGATGAAAAACATGAATCTACACATTCAAGAAGCTAAACAAACTTTTAAGTAAGATAAATTCAAAGGGATACACACAGGAACACATTATAATCAAATTGTTATATGACAAAGACAAAGAGAGAATCCTGAAAACAGCAAGAGAGAAACAACTAATCATGTAGAAGGCATCCTCAATAAAAGTCACATCTGACATCGCATCAGAAACCATAGAGCCAAAGGCAATGGAATTATATATTCAAATTACTAAAAGAAAAGCATTGTCAACCAAAAATTCTATATGTGCCAGAACTATCCTTCAAATACAAAGGAGAAATGAAGACATTACAAAGCTAAAAACCAAGAAAGTTTGTAGATAGTAAACCTGCTCTACAAGAAATGCTGAGGGGAGTCTTTCAAGCTGAAACAAAAGAACATTAGACGGCTGGGAGCGGTGGCTCACACCTGTAATCCCAGCACTTTGGGAGTCCAAGGCGGGCAGATCACAAGGTCAGGAGATCGAGATCATCCTGGCTAACACGGTGAAACCCTGTCACTACTAAAAATACAAAACAGTAGCTGGGTGTGGTGGCGGGGCCTGTGGTCCCAGCTACTTAGGAGGCTGAGGCAGGAGAATGGCGTGAACCCGGGAGGCGGAGCTTGCAGTGAGCCGAGATCATGCCACTGCACTCCAGCCTGGGTGACAAAGTGAGACTCCGTCTAAAAAAAAAAAAAAAAAAAAAAAAAAAAGAACATTAGACAGTAACCTGAGAAATAAAGAACACTAATAAAGGAAAATATATAGGCAAATTTAAAAAAGGAATAGTAATGTTATTTTTGGCTTGTAACTCTTCTTTTTAAAATATGATTTAACAGATGGCTGCATAAAAATTATTACAAATACACACTGATGAGCACATAATGTATAAAGATATAATCTGTGACAATAACAAGATAAAGTGGTGGACAGAACTATATAAGAGCAAAGTTTTTATATATCATTGAAACTAAGTTGGTATTAAGTTAAACTAGATTGTTATAAATTAAGATGTTAATTGTAAACCACGGGGCAACCACTAAGAAAATACTATTTAAATTTGTACTAAAGGGAATTAAAATAATACACTAGAAAATATTTACTTAACATAAACAGGAGATTACTTTTAGATCCAATTACACAAATAGGTTGAAAATAGAAGGATAGAAAAGGATAACCCATGCAAACAGTAACCAACTGCAGTGGCTATATTAATATCGGATAAAACAGACTTTAAGACAAAAATTGTTATAAGGGACAAAGAAAAACCTTATATAATGATAAAAGAGTCAAACCATCAAGAAGATACAACAATTATAAGCATATATGAACCTAACAATAGAGCCCCAAATATATGAGGAAAAAAACTAACAAAATTGAGGGAGAAATAGCTCTACAATAATTGTTGGAGACAGCAATACTCCATTTTCAATAACAACAGAACAACTAAACAGAAGATCAACAAGAAAACAGAAGACTTAAAAAATACTATAAAGCAACTATACCTAACGGACATATACAGGACAGTTTACCCAACAGTAGCAGAAAGTGTATTCTTCTCAAGCACATGTGGAACATTCTTTAGGATACATATTAGGCCACAAAACAAGTCTTAATAAATTTTAAAAGAATGAAGTAATACACAGTATCTTCTGCATCCATACTGGAATAAAATTAGAAATCAATAACAGAAGAAAATTTGGAATTTACAAAAATGTGAACTTATACACTGTTAATCAATAGGTCAAGAAAAAAATGACAAGAGAAATTAGAAAATACTTTGAGAAGAATGAGAATGAAAATACAACATATCAAAATGTGTGGCATATAACAAAAGCAGTGAAGAGAACAAAATTCATAGCTATAAATGCATATATTGAAATAGGAAGACCTGAAATCAATAACCTAAACTTCCATCTCAAGGAATTAGAAAAAGAACAGCAAATTCAACCCAAAGCAAGCAGAAGAAAGGAAATATTAAAGATTAGAGCACAGATAAGTGAAATAGAGAATAAAGCAGCAATACAGAGAATTAAGAAAATCAAAAGTTGGTTCTTTGAAAAGATCAATAAAACTAACAAATCTTTAGATAGACTGACCAAGGAAAAAGGAGAGAAGATTTCAATCACTAGAAATAAAAAAATGAAAGTGGGGACACGGGCCAGTGCAGTGGCTCATGTCTGTAATCCCAGCACTTTGCGAGGCTGAAGCGAGTGGATCACCTGAGCTCAGGAGTTTTGAGACTAGCCTGACAACACAGTGAAACCCTGTCTCTACAAAAAAGACAAAAATTAGCTGGGTGTGGTGACACACACCTGTAATCCCAGCTACTTGGGAGGCTGAGGTGCGGGGATCACTTGAGCCTGGGTGGCTGAAGCTGCAGTGAGCTGAGATCATACCACTGACAGAGTGAGACCCTGTCTTGAAAGAAAGAGAGAGAAAGAGAAACTAGGGACACTACTACTCAACTTAAAAAAAAATACTATGAATAATTGTATGCCAACAAATTAGGTAACCCAGATGAAATGGACAAATTCTTAGAAATATGCATACTACAAAAACTGACTCAACACAAAAATTAAAAATTTTTTAAAGACTCAAGAAGAAAGAGCAAAATGAATAGACCTATAACAAACAGATTAATTCAATAACCAAAAGAACTTCCAAAAAGAAAAACTCTAAGACCAGATGGCTTCACTGGTGAGCTTTACCATAAACATTTTTTTTTTTAAATTAACAAAACCCCTTCATAAATTCTTCCAAAAATAAAAGAAGAGGAGCCATTTCCTAACTCATTCTGTGAGGCCAGTATCACCCAGATACCAAAGTCAGACAAAGATGTTACAGACCAATATCCTTTATGAGTACAGATGCAAATAATCCTCAACGAAATATGCACAAATTTAACATAGAGCATATTAAAAGGATTATACACCATGATCAAGGGATTTATCCCAGGAATGCAAGGGTTCAACATACAAAAATCAATCAATGTAATATGCCATGTTAATCGAATAAAGGGGGAAAACCACAATATCATCCAAATTGATGCAGAACATTTTTTTTGACAGATTCCAACATTCATGATAAAAATATCAACATCCTTGGAATAGAAACTCCCTCAACTAGATAAGGGACATCTATGAAAAACCCACTGCTTAACATCATATTTACTGGTGAAAGACCAAATGGCTTCCCCACTAATAACAGGAACAAGACTAGACTGCAATTGCCAAATAAGGTATCTGGATTGGAATGGAAGAAGTAAAACTATCTCTATTGAAAAATGACATAATCTTATATATAGAAAACCCTAAAGAATCCACACAAAAGCTGTTAGTGCTAATGAATAAGCTCTGCAGAACTGCAAAATACAAGATCAACATACTAAAATCAGCTGTATTTCAATATACCAGCAATGACAATCCAAAAATGAAATTCAGAAGAGAATTCCATCTACATTAGCATCAAAGAGAATAAAATACTTAGAAATAAACTTAACCAAAAAAATACAAGACTCATACACTGAAAATTACATTATTGAAAGAAACTGAAGACTTAGACATCCTGTGTTCACAGACTTAATAATATGAAGACATAATATTAGATGACAATATTCCTAAAATTAACCTACAGATTCAAAGCAATTTCTATCAAAGCCCCAAGTGCCTTTTTTATAGAAATGGATATGCTCATCCTAAAATTCATATAAAACTACAGGGGAGCCCAAATAGCAAAAACGATCTGGAAAAAGAACAAAGCTGGGGGACTCACACTTCCTATTTTAAAACTTACTACAAAGCAATAGTAATCAAAACAGTGTGGTACTGGCATAAGGAGAGACATTATAGATCAACAGGATACAATTGAGAGTCCAGAAATAAAGCCATATATTTACAGTCAATTTTTTTTTTCAAGAGGGTGCCAATACCATTCAATGGGGGAAAAGTCTTTTTCAACAGTCTTTTCAACAAATGGTGCAGGAACAACTGGATATCCACTAGCAAAAGGATAAATCTGGACCCCCCTATGTCACACTATATATAAAGATTAATTCAGAATAGAACAAAGATCTAAATTTAAGAGCTAAAATACTAAAACTCTTAGAATAAAACATAGAGGTAAATTAGTTATGACTTTGGATTAGGTAATGATTTCTTCAATATGATACCAAAAGCACAAACAACGCTTTTTTTGGTTTTGTTTTTGTTTTTGAGACAGAGTCTCACTCTGTCGCCCAGGCTTCAGTACGATAGCATGATCTCAGCTCACTGCAACCTCCGCCTCCTGGGTTCAAGCGATTCTCCTGTCTCAGCCTCCAGAGTAGCTGGGATTACAGGCGCCCACCACCACACTTGGCTAATTTTTTTGTATTTTTAGTAGAGACGGGGTTTCACCATGTTGGCCAGGCTGGTCTCAAACTCCTGACCTCAGGTGATCCACCCACCTCGGCCTCCCAAAGTGCTGGGATTACAGGCGTGAGCCACTGCACCCGGCCACAACAAAATTTAAAAATAAAGAACTCCATCATTTAAAACTTTTATGCAGCAAAGAACACTGTTAAGAAAGTAAAAAGATAACCCATAAAATGGGAGAAAATATTTGGAAATCATATATCTGATGAGTCTAATATCAAGAATATATATGCTGAGCGTGGTGGCTCACGCCTGTAATCCCAGCACTTTGGGAGGCCAAGGCAGGCGGACCACCTGAGGTCAGGAGTTCAAGACCAGCCTGACCAACATGCTGAAACCTGTCTCTACTAAAAATACAAAAATTATTGGACATTTCTCTAAGGAAGATATACAAATAATGGATAAATAGTGGACATTTCTCTAAGGAAGATATACAAGTAGCCAATAAGCACATGAAAATACGCTCATCCTCATTAGTCATTAGGGAAATGCAAATCAAAACCACAATAAGATACTACTTCCTACCCTTTAGGATGCCTGTAATAATAACTAAACAGCAAAAAACAAAACGATGATGGAAAATAACAAGTGTAAACTAGGATGTGGAGAAACTGAAACCCTTGAACACCACTGATGGGATGGTAAAATGATGCAGTGACTGGAAAACGGTTTGGCAGTCCCTCAAAATTTAAATACAGAATTCCATATGACCCAGCATTTCCATTCTTAGGTACATATCCAAGAATAAAAACATATGCATATGTTCACACAAAAACTTGCCCACAAATGTTCATAGCAGCATGATTCCCAATAGCCAAGAAGCAGAAACAATCCAAATGTCAATCAATTAAAAGAATGTGGTCTATCCATGCAATCAAATATTACTTAGCAAGAAAAAGGAATGAAGTATTGATACAAGTTACGACAGGATTGAACCTTGAAAACGTTATGCCAAGTGAAAGAAACCAACACAAAAGGCCACATACATATGATTTCATTTTCATGAAACATGTAGAACAGGCAAATTCATAGGGACAGAAGCAGATTAGTAGTTGTAAAGCCTAGGGTTGGGGGAACAGAAAGTGACTGCTAAATGAGTATTGGGTTTCTTTTGGGGGTGATGAAAATGTTCTAGAGTTAGATAGTGGTGATGGTTGTACAACACTGGGAATGTACTAAGAGCCACTTAATTATACACGTAAATTTTATGTTGCAAGAATTTTACCTCAACTTTTTTTTAAAGACAGCTCTATATTATACTGATATGGGAGGATCTCTAAGATAGTTCCTATTTATTTCTGCATTGTTATTTTTAGACAGGGTCTTGCCCTGTACCCAGGCTGCAGTACGTGATGCAATGACAGCTCACTGCAGCCTCAACCTTCTGGGCTCAAGCGATCGTCCCATCTCAGCCTCCTGAGAAGCTAACATGCCAATTTTTTTTTTTTTTTTTTTTTTTTTTTTTTTTTTTTTTTTTAGAGACAGGGTCTCGCTATTTTGCCCAGCCTGGTCTTGAATTCCTGATCTCCAGGATATATTGAGGAAAAAAGCAAAGTAAAGAACAGTGTATAGTGTGCTTCTTCTTAAAGGGGGATGGGGAGGTAGAGAAAGAATATATGTACAAGTATTTTTATCTAGCGTATCTTTGCTAAAATATACAAGGAATTGTTACCAGTGGATTGCCTCTGGGGAAGAGAACTTGAAGGCAAAGGCCAGGCGTGAAGAGATTTCCTTTCCAAATAAGCCATCTTGTACAGTTTAAATATTACACTGTGTATATATCACCTTCCCTCCCCACAAAGAAATTAACCTTTTAGAAAGAGTAAATATGTAAATAAAGGGGCCATTATATAATGAAAATATGCTCACAGGAAGGTTGTTGACCCATGCCAGGAGAAAGAAAACACTGGGAATGAGATTCTAGAAGTGTTTATCTAACAGTGACAGATATTGGAGTAATTTTAAAAAATATAATTAGGCATTTCCCAAATACAAGATTATATAAACAGTACAATGCATCATAATAGAAGCTGGAAGGCTGTGTATGTGACAACAGCCTGCTCAATGATAAGCTCCAATCCTCAGGACCCATGGCTCTCCAGGGACAGGAAAACCTGGGCAGCTTCCTCCTCTCACTTCAGATCTCCCCAGTTGGGGGCCTTTGGGCACTGACAGGTAAGGGGGTTCTCTATATTGAAAGGAGCTTTCAAACACCATTTCTATGATTCAAGGAGAAAGAGAGATTGTATAAAATACTCATGGTTATAGTCCAACACCCCATTTTCAACTCTTTTGTCTTGACTCTGAAGATCTTCCAACTGTCCCTAAAAATTTGATGTATTGGTTTAACTCATGGTGATACGGTTTGGATATGTGTCCTCTCCAAATCTCATACTGAAATGTGACCTCCAGTGCTGGAGATGGGGCTTACTGGGAGATATTGGGTCATGGGCACAGACCCCTCATGAATGGGTTGGTGCCATCCCCATGGTAATGAGTCAGTTCTTGCCCTGGTAGTTCCCATGAGATCTGGTTGTTTAAGGAGCCTGGCACCTCACCCCTTCCCTCACCATGTGATGCCTGCTCTCTGTCTTCCGCTATGATTGGAAACTTCCTGAGGCCTCCCCAGAAGCTAAGCAGATGCCAACACCATGCTTTGTGTACAGCCTGCAGGACCGTGAGCCAATCAAACCTCTTTTCTTTGTAAATTACTCAGTCTCAGGTATTTCTTTATAGTAATGCAGGAATGAACTAACAAGTATGGCTTCAAAGTCTCCAGGTACACTTACAGGCATCAGACAAAAAGATGTCCTATCATTGTCTATTACTACCTACAGTCTCCAACACAACCTAAACAAAGCAACTTGTTTCACCCACACTCCCTCAGAGTCGTGATTGTTTTCCACTTCCATCAGATTACCACCAAATCCTCTCTCCTGAGTTTTAAATTCATGACAGAAGCTGCTACTGATTCTGTCTACAATGGCAGAATCTCCCAAAGAAGCCGAGAGTGAGAGCCAGTCCTTCCTGCCCTGTCTTCTTTATTTCTAGAGCTGAAAAAAAAAAAAAACAAACCTGGAAGCCCCACTCAGCAGCAGCTTTTGCAGTCTGTGGCTTAATTTAAGGAAGTATTCCACGAAACCTCTGAAGAGAATCTAAATTTAGATTAAAGTCTTTCACCATCAATGGCAGCTTCTCAGCTAGGGAACCCACATGCAGAGCAGTGTAGTGGGAAAGGGAGAAAAAAAAAAAAACAACTTTAAAATACAGATAAATGTGTCATCATTGAGGGAAGTGAAGCTGGCATTATTTAGCCCAAAAAGATTTGTTTTTTTTTTTTCCCCAACATCTTAATTCTTGATAAAGGGGTGGTATACAAAAACTTTTAGGGAAAGAAACAGTGAAATAAGGAAGATGGATTTTCTTTACAAGATTTCTATTAAGAGAGCAAATAAGCTATTCTGTATAACAGGATGTCTGTAACGATAAAATCGGGCATCAAGATATTGAAATTAACACTGTCTCCAACAGAGTTCTCTAACACTGAGTCAGATGGGAGAGGAAAACCATCTACTTACCAGTTCTGTTTCCCCAACACCCTGCTCTTCCCAAATATGTCAATTTAGACCTTGAATTCTGAGATGGTAAGAGTCAAAGCAAAAAAAAAAAAAAAAAAAAAATAGTGTGAGTTGAGATTAATGACAATTAACAGGGAAATAATGCTATTTTCTATGCATTTTTCTAACCTTGAAGAGTAAAGCTGATCCATTTAAAAGCTAATCTTACCCAATGTTCCATTCCCAAAATAAAATTAAGATATTGTATATAATTTCTAAATTAACACTTAGCAGACCTATCCTCTCTCTCCTCCAAAACAACACCTAGTTTGCAAGCCATATCTATAGACAGATTTCAGCAGATAACTGTGTAAAAGAAAAGAGAGTGATATTTTCTCTGTTCTTTAACACTCGCATCCTCCTCTTCTCCCCGCCCCCAGTCAGCTGGGAAACACTCCCAGATCCTTCCCAAGCTTAGTTTGGAAGTAAAGCTCAGCTTTGATAAACACTCAGCCCAGGAAATGCTTTGGATCGTAGACCACTTAGAATAGTTAGCTTGTCCTTTCCCAAGAGGTCTCTTTTCAAACTCGGTTTGATAGGCGATTTGGCGGTTTTTAAATTTTCACTAAAACCTCTTGGCGCATTGCTGAGAGATAAAATCATAGCAGTCTGGAAACTGTACACATGGTGTAGGGATGCACCACACCCAAGACAAGCTCCTCAAACTCCAGGGGAAAACCATTGTTCCAACGAGCTGCCAACAGGACTCTCTGCAGGAACCAGGGAGCGGCGAGGGGAACAGTCTCCACTGCGCATCACCTTCACTGCGCCATCTTGGTAGCTGCTTGATATAGTCAGCAACAAACGATGCTGGACCCAAGGAAAAGACTACAAGAACCTGTTTTTAGCATTTTGAAATGTTAGGCCGGGCAGGTGGCTCACGCCTGTAATCCCAGCACTTTGGGAGGCTGAGGCTGGTGGATCATCTGAGGTCAAGAGTTCGAGGCCAGCCTGGGCAACATGGTGAAACCCCATCTCTACTAAAAATACAAAATTATCTGGGCATGGTGGCGCATGCCTGTGATCCCAGTTACTCAGGAGGCTGAGGCAGGAGAATCGCTTGAACCCGGGAGGCAGAGGTTGCAGTAAGCCGAGATCGGGCCACCGCACTCCAGCCTGGGCAATAGAGTGAGACTCTGTCTCAAAAAAAAAAAAGAAGAAGAAGAAGAAAAAAAAAGGCCGGGCGCAGTGGCTCACACCTGTAATCTCAGCACTTTGGGAGGCCAAGGCAGGTGGATCACCCAAGGTCAGGAGTTCAAGACCAGCCTGGCCAACATGATGAAACCTCATCTCTACTAAAAAATACAAAATTAGCCAGGTGTGGTGGCGGGCGCCTGTAATCCCAGCTACTTGGGAGGCTGAGGCAGAAGAATTGCTTGAACCTGGGAGGCAGATGTTGCAGTGAGTCAAGATGGCACCATTGCACTCCAGCCTGGGTGACAGAGCGAGATTCCGTGTCAAAAAAAAAAAAAAAAAAAAGTAGTGTCCTTGACCGCACTACTAAAAGGCTCACTCCATAGCACTGACATCAACCATGCCACAGGGCTTTTTTCTTTCTTTCTTTTTTTTTTTTTTTTTTTTTTTTACATAATTAAAATTTCACATCACTTCTCTGTGTCTTTTGGACAACCACTGGTGTTGCACTTGGGAACTGTTCAAAATATCTCGAAGATCAAATAATTGTCTATAGTAGCAAATCCTCTCAACTTGGTTCATGAGTTCAAAGGCTAATGAAGCAGAATCCCAAACGCTGCCTCAAAGTGACAGGCAGGTTCATGAAACTGAACAGAATGTGAAGCCAAGTTCTTTCACCGAGAGAAAATGGTGGCAAGGCCTGAGGACAGAGCCAAACAGAAACACAGGACAGGGCTAGCGTAAACCGAGAATTCCCAAACTTCCGGAATTCACTGAAACTTTTATTTATTTTTTTTTTAGTAAAACTGCAAGAGTGACCTTTCAAAAATATATATGCAATACATAATAATAAGGCAAAGTTTGCTCTGATTTTTAGTAAATAGCCAGTAGCAGTGTAAGCCAAGTTATAAATGGCAATAAAAAAATAAATATTATGGCCAGGGCGTGGTGGCTTACGCCTGTAATTCCAGCACTTTGGGAGGCTGAGAGGATCACTAGAGACCAGGAGTTCGAGACCAGCCTGGGCAACATTGTGAGACCCTGTCTCTATAAAAAATTAAACAATTAGCCGGGCATGGTAGTGCACACCTGTAGTCCCAGCTACTCAGGAGGCCAACGTGGGAGGATCTGCTTGAGCCCAGGAGGTTGAGGCTATAGTGAGCTATGATTGCACCGCTGCACTCTAGCCTGGGTGACAGAGAGAGACTCTGCCTCAAATATTTCAAAATAGATAGATAGATAAATATTAGGTTGGTAAGAGGGGATGGGAATGTGGGGAGAACAAATATTATTTTCCATTTTATATGGTTACTCATCTGTATCATAATAAAGCTTGCATCACTTCCCCTCCATGCCACAGCCCTTGAACTGATCACTTTCTGAGAACGTTGGCTAAACATGAGAGCTCCTAACTGAATGATATAGTAAGAGTTTAATCTAGAGACAAAAAGGAAAAGAACTAGATTTAGAAACAATCTTTACTCCAACTTACAAAGTAAGAAGCCAAATATCTTCCCAAAGCAGTTCAACTTTAGTCCACTTGCAAAATACTCTCAGTGCAGCCTTAGGCAAGTCAGCCCCTAACATGTGCTGGGCAACAGCTGGGTGCCAGGTTACTTCACTTGTTCCTTGCAACAACAACCTGATGGGGTAGGTCTTGTCTGAGGCTTAAAGATGAAGCACATGATTTGGCCAAGGCTACTGGTATGTGGTGGAACTGGGTTGGCTGACTCCATTGCATCTCACCGTCTCAAAAATAGGGACAAGAATACGACCTATCTTGTGAGTTTATCAAGAGGAGGAAATACAACTCATGAAAAGTGCTTGGCCTCATTGCTGCCTGGCAAATAGTAAAGAGCTTCAATAATTGACAAATAGCTTTATTATTATTGTCCAAAGTCACCCCACTAGCAAGCAGCAGAGCTGTACTGGAAATCCAGGTTGGCAGCAGTCTTAAACCCACACTCCAAGTGGTGGTCACCTTAGAATAGTAAGGTATAGCTTACCAGCCTCGCCCAGTTTCCATTTAAAAAGGCCAAAGGGCAGAAGGGGCACTCCAAAGTCCCAATACTGAAGCTTTAATGCTAGCACTTGGCAGAATCTCATTCTAGAATACTTTTGGAGAGACTCCAAGCTTTGGGCATGAAGGCTGCACAGCTCTAGCAAAAGTGATCCAACGGCAGGGAAGGGAAAACGGGACAGGCGCTTCTACAGAATCTGCCTCTCTACCTGAACAGTTCCCTTCTGTGCACTTTAGGTTTGACCTACTTTGCCCACAAAAAGGTTTTAAGCAGTATCTGACTGTAAATGGAAGTAGGTCCAGTGTCAAAAAGGAAAAAAAAAAAAGTCACTACACAAATACTAACTTACCATTGACTGGAGGAGCCACAGTTGGGATCCAACTAGTACTTCTAAGAAGGTTTTAAGAAAGCATGTTACAATAAAGCAGCAAGATACTAAAGCAAGGACATCCAGGGCAGGGCCAACTAAACTTCCCTCTGAATGCCACTGCGCTTTATCAAGACATCCGTCATCATACAAAAATTTAACTTACTTACAGACACTTCTCACCTACTTGGAGTGGTTTTTCAAGGGCCAAATAGAAACCTGACATTAACTTAGTAACCATGTACAGAATGGATAAACAGTATTTACTTCCTCTGGTCTCTACCCTGTTTATTATATCCAGTACTCCACTTGCCAGACAACCTAGAGCATAGTAGTTATTCAATAAAAATTTTCATTCATTCATTCATTCATTCATTCATTCATTCATTCGAGACAGGGTCTTACTCTGTTGTCCAGGCTGGAGTTCAGAAGCACCATCATGGCTCACTGCAGCCTCAAACTCCTGGGTTCAAGAGATCCTCCTGCCTCAGCCTCCCAAGTAGCTGGAACTACAAGCATGCACCACCATGCCTGGCTAATTTTTTGTTTTTGTTTTTTTAAAAGATGGGAGGTTCTCACTATGTTGCCCCAGCTGGTCTTGAGCTCCTGGGTTCAAGCCATCCTCCCACCTTGGCCTCCCACAGTGCTGGGATTACAGGCATGAGCCACTGTGCCCAGCCAATAAATGTTTCTGTTTTTGTTTTTGTTTTAAAGAACCTTTGTAAAGCACTTAGTCTAAACTTTGGGCCCAATAAAGGAGTGCTTATGAAACATCCTAGAAAGACTATCATCCAGCATTTGTGTAAACACAGTAACACACTTTGTGAATGGGGCCTAATCTATTCCCTCATTAGGTGTCGCTCTGTGTCACCAGGTTCCTTCCCAAGTAGCACAACAGCAGTCATCATCACAGCTCACATTACCTATACACTTACCCGTGCACCCTGCTGGCACTTTCCACGGCTAGAAGGTGGCAAAGCCAGGACTGGAACCCAGGCCACTTGCCTCCAGCACCTGGCCCTTAGTTACCATGCTACTCCAGTCCCTGGATCCCATGCTATCCTCAGGGCATGAAAGGAAAAGTCCCTACTTTCTACCCAGCAGGCCTATAAAATTACAATTTATCATCTCATTTCCTGATCCAATCTCCCCGACAACTCACGACTTCTACAGAAGCCAAGTGTCCTCTCTTCCCTCTACCTGCCTGGCACCTCTTCTGTCCGTCTGACCTGCAAAGCAGCCAGACTCATGTCCACTCTGTCTTCGCTTATGCTATTACCACATGGTCTCTCAGCCCACCCAGATCTTTCTAGAGCCAGTTCACATTTGGCCTCCCCAGCAACTAGACTCAGGGGCGCTTTGTATTGTTACTTAACTGTTTCTAGCGAATGTACCATTTCCCTATGGCTGTTAAGTTTCTGGTAGAGACAGTCTTTTTCAATACTCCTCTCTATTGACTGTAGTATTCAATGAGAACAGCGAGCATGTATGGCGTTGGTATTTATCTTCCTTTAGAATGACGAGAAAATTAATATCAAATTCTAATGCAAAAATTATAAGCCTTAATATTAAAGAATCAAGCCTCATTTCAAATAATAAAGTACTTATTTCTTCTTTATACTTTTCAATAAGCATATATTCCTTTTTTTTTTTTTTTAATTATGGGCTGGGCTGGGTGCAGTGGTTCACGCCTGTAATCCCAGCACTTTGGTTGGCTGAGGCAGGCGGATCACGAGGTCAGATGTTCGAGACCAGCCTGGCCAACATGGTGAAACCCTGTCTCTATTAAAAATGTAAAGATCAGCCGGGCGTGGTGGCATGTGCCTGTAGTCCCAGCTACTCGGAGGTTGAGGCAGGAGAATTGCTTGAACCCAGGAGATGGAGGTTGCAGTGAGCTGAGATTGCGCCATTGCACTCCAGCCTGGGCGACAGAGCGAGACGCCATCTCAGAAAAATAAATTTAAAAAAATTAAAAAGTTTAATTAGAAATTATGTATACAGATATTTGCGTGGCAACACATTGGGATAAGATGCATTGATCTGATATTTGTATATTTAAAGTTATTATTCTTTAATTAGATGCTTTTTTGTTCTTAAGCATTTGATCATCTGAACTGGGTTCATTCAAAGTGTTATGAATTTCACAGCTATTAAAAAGAAATCAGCTATATCAAGAGGAGCTGTGTGATGTAGAAACAAATTAACATAACAGAAGTTTATTTCTTGCTCAACTACGTGTTCAGCATAGGTTGGGTCTGAGCAGGGGCCGGGGGGAAGGGCCAGCTTCGGCTTCACGTAATCACTCAGGGATCTAGGCTGATAGAGGCTCCACCACATGACACACAGCTTCTGTGGCAGAGCTGGAGGTTCCTAGTGCTTCAGCCCCGAAGTGGGACAACTCACTTCTCACAGTTTGCTAGCCAGAAGTAGTTACATGGTCCCACCTAACTGCAAGGTCACACGGGAACGTTGACGAGCACAGGGATAGTCATTGCATAGTGAATGTTCCTGCCACGCAGGCAGATCAGGAGGTAAGGAAACAGAGAAATCCCTGATCCGTATGTGCAAAAAGCAAGTATACAACAATGCACACACAATGCTCCCATCTGTGTTAAAAGAAAAAGAGGGAGGGAGTGAGAAAAGGAAGAGGCATTTTAAAAAAATCTCTGGAAGAACACAAGAATACCATGGTAAGAAAAGCTCGGCCGGGCCTGGTGGCTCACGGCTGTAATCCTAGCAGTTTGGAAGGCCGAGATGGGAGGATCACTTGAGGCCAGGAGTTCAAAACCAGCCTGGTCAACATAGCAAGACCCCATCTCTAAAAAAAATTTAAAATAAAATTAAAAAAAAGAACAGCTCTTTCTCTGGAGGCAAGCTGGTTAACAAGGGACAGAGGGGAAAGGAGGCATATTTTTCACAATCACCCTTTTATACCATATGTATGTATTATCTACTTAGAAATACTAACTAAAATAATGTTTAGGCTTTGAGACATGCACTTCAAATTAACAAGTTGGGTTTTTTTCCTGAATAAAGTCCAATTTATTCTAGTATGAGAAACACCAAATCCTTGACTCATACTGCTTGAAATGAAACACTGGGAGTAACTGTGACAAAATCATATCCTTTTGTCAAGTCTTGCTGAGAGATCGTGGACTGGCTTGCGTCTATTCTAAATATAAACAACGCTACTACATAGGCGATACGAAATGTACTTAAATCGATAAACTGTCTCCTTTTGAGAATAATTTTACTTTTATTTCAATTCAGGTTCCATTTTCTAAACCAAAACTCCTTTTCTAAAATAAAAAGGTACTTTTTGTACTGTTCAGATGAACCCTATGCAAAATACAGTAAATAAACCCTCTGGGGTTTCCAAAAAAAAATAATATCGCTGTTTCAGAATGCATTAAGATATGGAATGTACCAGGGTACAGTCTTTTACAAAATTATACTCAACACCCTCAAATAATACTTAAATACATCACATGCCAGATGTGCCAGGAGATAGCCTCTGGGGCTTATGACAAGATGACCGAATGGCTCATCTGTTCTCATGTGGTTGTCTTAAAAGCAGAATCCTGCTGACATTTGGCTGATGAGGTTAAGCCATGAATGACGCAGTCAGTAAACAGGTCAAGTCCCCAAAACGGCTTCCGTAATTCATTTCAATATTAATATCAAAAAGCAAGCCTTTACAAAAAAAACAGGCTTATAATAAATATCCCATTCATAACATTCTAAATACCAGGCTCCTAAGGGAAATGGCATTCTCACAAGGCTATATGCTATCCTTGCAGGTTTTACTTCTAAATTTATGCTAAGCGTATTACATAGCAACTTTTTACTCTACAAGTTGGTCCTTAAATAGCCTGTGACTATCATTCAAGCTCTATAATACCCTGTCCACATTTAAATTTTAGTGGAAAATCAACTACCACGCATTGCTTTCAAATATCAATATTGTACTTTCTAAACTGAATGTGCTGGGTGTATCAAAGGTGTTTACCTAAGCAGGCTTTCTGCCAATAGTTCGTGCTACTCTAAGAGGTTACCGGCACTACCATTTAACCTGCCTTTACCTCCCAAACAGGTTTATTCAAGCAATAGCAACGATGTCCAAAAACATGTCTCATATTTTTTCTAAATCACTGAAGAAAAGTAAATAACCGAAGTTGCCAAGCCAATCTTAGGTGTTATATAATCCATTATTTAAGCCTACAGAATAAATGAGTGATTATTAAATTTCTAGTGTTGCAACACGAGGCCAAATTCAATGTTAAGTTTAGAACAAAAACAAAATTGAAAAGAAACTTTAGATCATACTCTATTATGTTTAAACCAAGACAGATGGTGTATATTTATGAGTATGCAAACAATTCCCAGGACTTCCAAGTCAGAGGCAGCCCTAAAACCATATATCATTGATTTCAAGACACATTTTTTCATATGTTTTGAAATCTTCAAATGAATCACATTTTGCAATATAATTACCTGTGTTTCTTTTTACGTAGTACATAAAACAATGGTATGACTTGCAAGCGGTCATCTTAGATTCATTGAAATAAGACCATGTTACTATTAGCTAACACATATTGAACACATTATGTACCAGACAGTGCATGTGGATTATTTCATTTACTACCCACAACAACACTGAAGTGATTCCAGTTATTTCCCCATTTTTACGTTATGTTATTATTTTAAGATGGTCTCACCCTGTCACCCAGGCTAGAGTGCAGTGGCACAATCACAGCTCATTGTAGCCTCAACCTCTTGAGCTCAAACAATTCTCCCACCTCAGCTCCCAAGTAGCTGGGACTACAGGTGTGCACCACTATGCCCAGCTAATTTTTTTCTATTTTTGTATAGATAGGGTCTTGCTGTGTTGCCCCAGCTGGTCTCAAACTCCTGGGCTCAAGTGATCCTTCCACCTCAACCTCCCCAAATATTGGGATTACGGGTGTGAGCCACTGTACCCAGCCTTCCCCCATTTTTATAGCTAAGGAAACTAAGAAATGATGTCATTTGTGTAAAGGCACAGGCTGGCTCCAGCCGAGCCCTTCATCATTCCACCTTGCTGATTCCACAAACGGAAGAGCTTGGCGGTCTGTGGGATTCAACCATTCCTGGAACACAGGTTCGAACTTCAGCGAAGCATCTTACAAAAACTTTTTTTCTTTTTAAGAATATAGAAGTGAAAATACAGAGCCCCAGATATCAAGAACAGACATTAATTCAAAGAATTTATTATAGGGTAGGGCTGATAATCAACTATCCTATAAAAATCATATTATTGCATAAAAACTAAATTATTTTTCTTTCTACACATCCTGAATTCAATTTACAGATAATCAGCATGTATTTCTCTCTCTTAAAACTGCTCTGTTATCTCTAGAGAAATAATTTAAGAATGTATTCCTATAATCTGTACCTGAATTTTGTTTAAAAATACTCCCAAATAGGCTGGGCATAGTGGCTCACACCTGTAATCCCAGCACTTTGGGAGGCTGAGGCGGGCCAATCAGCTGAGGTCAAGAGTTCAAGGCCAGCCTGGCCAACATGGTGAAACCTATCTCTACTAAAAATACAAAAAATTAGCCAGGCGCAGTGGCACATGCCTGTAGTTCCAGCTACTTGGGAGGCTGAGGCAGGAGAATCACTTGAACCCAGAAGGCAGAGATTGCAGTGAGCTAAGATCACACCACTGCACTCCAGCCTGGGTGACAAAAGTGAAACTCCGTCTCCAAAAAGAAAAACAAAAAGTCCCAAATAACATTATACAACAATCCAGGAACATTCTGCAATACAAATTGACAACAAAATTTATGGGGCTAAGTTCACATATAAAGGTACCACTCCTAACCCTTGGTCAAAAATTCTTGGCACTTTTACCAAATCTTTTGCTTCATACTACCACAAAGAAGGTATACTTCTTTTTCAGAAGTGCATTAAATGGTAGCTGTACCTTCCTTTTACTCAGCATAATGAAGCTAACATTATAAATTTTAAAAGAAAACAATCGGTATCATCTAGTTATTTATTGATTGCCCACCTGGCATCCATATTCCTGTTCCCCCAAACAACCCAAGTCTGTATTGTGGGTGGGACTAACCCCCTGATTAGATTCAAAGATGGAACCTAATTGTCCAACGAGCACATCCCATCATCCCAGCCACAGCGGTTGGTTCAGCAATGAACACTTGACCCAAATTAGGCCAATGAGACAAGAGGATTCAACTCCAGGCCTTCTACCCCAGGACTGAGCTGTTGAAGAAGCAGACTTTTAACTTTTCTGCTGGATTTAAAGCTGCAAGCAAACAGCCATGGAGCTTTTGAGCACAAGGGGAAGAGATGGTCATGAATAGTGCTGAGGTCAAAACACTGAGATATAGAGAGAAACCAGGTCCTTGCTTTGCCATTGGAATGACTTGGGCTTTTCAGTGAAGTCACTAAAATTCTCTCTATTGAGCTAATTTAACCTAGGTTTTCTGCTACTTACATCTGAAGGTATCCTGCTTTTAAACAACAACAACATTAGGAAGTGCGATATTGTACATAAAAGACAGAATTAAAAATGTGGAAATTAGCTGAAGAAAGGAGGCAGGGTGAAAAATCAATGAATACCCTCCTCACCCGGCCTGAGAATTTAACTATCTTTATTATCAGGGAAAGAAACAATCAGACTGTGGTCTGATGCAACCACCAAGACTACAAGGAACACTAAGGGACTTGGTAGGAAAGAATCAAGGAAATGGGTAGGTGGGTGGTTCTTGCCTGTAATCCTAGTACTTTGGGAGACCAAGATGGGAGGATCGCTTGAAGCCAGGAGTTCTGGACAAGCCTGGGCAATATAGTGAGACCCTGTCTCTACAAAAAGTTTAAAAATTAGCTGGGCATGGTGGCTCATGCTGAGGTGGGGATGACTTGAGCCCAGGAGTTTGAGGCTGCAGTGGGCTATGACTGTGCCATTGTACTCCAGCCTGGGCGACAGAACAAGATCCTGTCTCAAAGAAAATGCAGTGAAGAGGGAGGAAAAGAGGCCCTTTCTGCTACAAAATGCAATCTAGGGGAACCAAGAGATAGGATGAAGAAAGAAAGGGAGGGAAGACTTAGCAGGAGATAAGGCTGTGGGGTAGGGTGAGCAAAAGAAGGCTTCCCCAGGTCTCTCCCAAGCACTCAGGTCCAGTATTCACAGCCTGAAAATGGGAAACGTTATTCAAGATGCAACCGCAAAGCTTGGGCAAGGGGCAAATGAATGATGTCTCTCCAGCCCAACCAGTTATCCCCGCCAGCCCTGAGGGAGAGGCTAAGGAAAAGACCTGGAAACCAAAAGCTACAAAGCTGGGCCAAATTCCAGAATTAAAATTTCGGGCTTTGGTTCAAGCCCCTGGAATGGCCCAGAAGCCCAAGATAGAGTAGACTTGCCTTTTAGGGTATCACATAGTCAAAGAAACCCCAAGCCTGGCTGACAACAACCTGTAATTGCTTGATCTCTAATCCCTGCTCATATCAACAAGAAGTGGCTATGAACGCAATGCTGCCTCCAGGAGAGGTGTCCTCCGACGCCCAACTCAGAGGCGACCAGGAGACCCAATAAACAAGGAGGGCATTAATTCTCTCATTCACCAGGTATTTGTGAGCACCAGCAGGTGCCAAGCAGTGTTGAAGGGGATACAGAAGTAAACAGACAGCAAGGACCCTAGCTTCACGGAACTTGACTACCAAGAGCAGAGACAGAAAATAAAAATTGATTGGACATTGGTAGATGGATGATGGGAGAATAACCAAACAAAAATACCATGAAGTGGTGAGTGCTATGAAGACAGCAGAATAGGCTGCCTGATCGTGAGTGAGGGAGGGACTATGAAGGGATGGTCAGGGAGGGTATCCCTGAGGTGATGATATTTATTTAGGCTGAAGGCCTGAATGACAGGAAGAAGCCATTGAGAAGTCAAGAGGAAGAGTATTATAACATCACACAGACACACGGACACACACACACACACACACACACACAGAGGAATAATTCATGCAAAAGCCCTTAAGCAGGATTAAACTCGCCACATTTGAGGACTGGGGTGGAGAATAAGGCAGAACCTGGCACAGAGGCTGCCAGAGAGGAATATGGCAGGATCACAGAGGGAGTTTGATTTTATTCTGAGTAGGGAGCTGCTGGAGGGCTTTAAGGAAGGAAATGACATGATCTGATTTATGCTCTTAAAAGATTTGGGGGTGACAGTTTAGTGGTTGCCAGGGTCCCAGGGACTGGGGATGGGTGGATGCGGCTAGAAAGGGATAGCTCCAAGGAGGCTGGGGTGGTGGTGCAGCTGGTCATCTTGATTGCAATGGTGGTGATATGAATTTGTACATGGGATCAAACTGCATAGACTGCTACACACACACACACCCCACCCACACGCAGTGCACGCGGAGCTAGTGAAATCTGACTAAGCTCTGGATTGCACCAATGTAAACAGTTAGTTTCCCGGGTCTTTTTGCTTGCATTATTTTGCCCTTACTTTTTCCCTATCGTTAGAACCCATGAACAAGTTCCTGGTTTTGACATGCCACAGTTATACAAAACACTAAAATTGGGGGAGGCTGAGTGAAGGGTACACAGGACCTCCCGGTACATTTCTCTCCCATCTCCTGTGAATCTATCATTACTTCAAAATTAAAAAAGAAAAAAAAAAGGTCTCTAAGGCTGCCATTTAAGGTATAGATTAGAGAAAAAAGAAAGTAGAACCACAATATGTGACACCAATCCACACTCAAGGAAAGGGTTAAAATGAAAAAGAAAACACGCAGATTGGCAAAGGAGCACCTGGAACTCTCATACGCCACTGGTGGAAAATGTAAATTGGTATAACCACTTCGGAAAAGCATTTGGCAAGTTTCATTACAGTTGAACATATGCCTATTCCACAGTCCAGTGACTCTACTCCTGAGTATACACCCAACAGAAGTGTATGCAAATACTCACCAAAAGACATATACCTGAAAATTCCAAACAGCACTAGTCTTAAAAGCCAAAACTAGAAAGGACTCTGCCCATCAACAGATAAAGGGATAAATTATGGTATATGCCCATAATGGGATATTGAACAGCAAAGAGAATGACTGACGTACAACCACACATAACAATACGGATAAATCTCACAAAAATAACATTGAACAAAAGAAACCAGTTGCATGCAGTAAGATTCCATTAATACAAAGTTCAAAAACAGGCTGTTACAAGTCAGGACTGTGGTTATCTTTGCCAGGGGGGTGCGGCTGAGGGAGGTAGAAAGTGAGAATGAGCTATTTTCAGGATTGTAGGGACATTCCAAGCACCAGCAATATTCTATTTCTTGATCTAGATCAGGAAAAGTGCTTCTCCACCCACTTTTTTTTTTTTTTTTTTTTGAGACAGGGTCTCGCTCTGTAAGGCTAAACGTGCCTTATTTCCAGAGTTTTTTGGTTTTGTTTCGTTTTTTTTTGCAAATTCTACTCCTGAGCAATTTGTTTATTTTTCTCTTTTCCCCAATCCTTAGAATCTGTGAACAATTTCCTGGTTTTGATATTATACCAGAGTTTTACAAGGGACTAAAACTTCTACCCATGTTTACAGGTATTTCCTCACCAGGCTCAAGTGAGGAACCACGCGAGAACCCTTTGGAAACTATGAAACACTGTACAGACGGGAGGTATTAGTATCACTGACAGGTATGAACAGGCAGCAAGCAGGTCTCACCTCTATAATTTGTAGGTAATATATGTAGAAATAAAATTGAGTAAACTTTGGATTTTTTTTACCCCAAAGACCTAAGAGGGGAAAAAAGCAAATATATCACATTGAAGTTACCATGTTTTCTACTTCTACAGAGCCAGATGCCAATATTGCTTTTTAAAGCACTTCTAAAATTAAAAACAATCCCTTAAAAAAGTTCATGGCAAACACATTGACTATAAATACTTGGAAAAATACTAAATTATTATTACTGGCTTATGCAAATGAGCATTTTACTCCTATTTTAAAGATGAGATTATTTTATAAAAATAGGTCAGAGATAACCCCAAATGACATTCTAAATAAATTATGTAAACCACTATTATTCAGAACCAAGACCTCAGTTTTTTAAAGAACTCACTATATAAACAAGATCTAGAGTCCAAATTTCTTAATCTGAAAGTAATCATTTTGCCTTATTTTAATATGATAGAACAAGCTTTTTGGGGGGTCAGGCAACTCGCTATTACATAATAAACATACTCTCTGGGAAAATAAGTCTGTTCAGAGCTATAAGACAAGTAGCCAAGAATTTTATTCTGTAGAACCCAGGAATCTTCCTAGTGAGGAAGTCCTTATAAATATGAGTATGTACTTTGAAATGCTATAATATTTTAGCCTTTTAAAATACATTCGGCACAATCATTTTGATTTTTCAGAATGTCTACATTTCAAAACAATTGGCAGTTAGTGTACTTACTAGTTGCTCTAAGAAATTCTTATCTATTTAAGAGCTTTTTAATCTTTTTAATTGTTGAAAAGCAATACATGCTCAAGGGGGTGAGAAAAGGGAGGAGATTAAATATTACAAAAGGCATATAATGAAAAGTCACCCTCTCTTCTCTCTTTTCTCTCCTCTCTCCCTCTCTCCTCTCTCTTTCCTCTGAAGAGGAGAACAGGAGAATCTCTTCAAAGGAAATCAACAGTCAAAATCTTTCAGTCGTATTCTATACAGACCTATCTATAGATTTCCCCCTTTATTTTTATTTCTTGTTTTATTATTCAAATAGTACACACACTAGCCTCTGTTTTGAATCATGCTTTTTCCCCCCACTCAATAATATATCTTGGAGAATGTTCCATATCAGAATATAAAACACTATCTTATTATGTTACAGCTACACATCATTGGGAATACACGATAATTTACTTAACTAGTCCCTGCTGATACACATTCACATTGATTTCAGTCTTTTATAATTTCAAACAATGCTGCAATGATTTTACACACCGGACTTTACATAAATGTGTGAAAACACCCATAAGAAAAAAGTCCTACATGCAGAATTGCTAGATCAAAGAGCATAAACATTTATGATCTGATAGACAGTGCCAAACTGCTCTTGGTACCTACTCTATCAATTTATATTCTCAACCACTAGAGTAAAAGACCTGTTTTTCCACACTCTTGTCTCATCACAGAAGATTTTCAATCTCTTTGATCTGCCACTCTTCTAGATGAAAAATTGTTTCATTCTTACTTTTAATTTGTAGTTTGTTTAGTATGAATAGGGCTGATTATCAATTAAAAATAAATTTTTAGAGAAAGAAAATGGGCATAAGAGAGAACAGGGCACAGCGGCATATACTTGCAGTCCCAGCTACTCAGGAAGCTGATGATCGCTTGAGCCCAGGAGTTCCAGGCTGCAGTGAGCTATGATCACGCCAGTGTACTCTAGCCTAGCCTGGGCGACAGAGCAAGACCCCATCTCTAAAGAAGAAAAGGAAAGAAGAAGAGAGAAAATAGGGTTGTCTTTTCACATGTTTCAAATCCATTTCCATTTTCTTTTCTGTGAATTGTCCATATTCTTTGCCTATTAGGTACTGGCCTTTTCCTAATTGATTTTGAAGGCTCTTTATATATTAGGAAAACCAGACTTTCATTTTCGTATCCATTACAGATTGTTGTTCCTAGTTTGTCTTTGCATGTTGATTTTATCCTATTTTTTGCCATGGAGAAATTTTCCATCCAGCTAAAGTTTTTTATTGTTTATAAGTGTTTTTCAGCTGATCTTTTGGGCTTTTAAAGATATATCATAACGTCTATAAATAACAGCAATTTTGTTTCCTGCTTTCTGATGTCTTTCTCTAGTTATTAATAATAACTATTTTGACAGTGTACATCCCTGCATTGTTCCTGATTTTAATGGGAATGTTTCCACAATTTCATCATTTAAAGATGATGCTGGCTAGGTGCAGTGGCTCATGCCTGTAATCCACGTACTTTGGGAGGCTGAGGCAGGTGGATTGCTTGAGCTCAGGAATTCAAGACCAGCCGGGCAACAGGGCGAAACCCCATCTCTACCAAAACTACAATGATTAGCCAGCCGTGGTGGCACATGCCTGTGGTCTCAGCTACTCGGGAGGCTGAGGTGGGAGGATCACTGGAGCCCAAGAAGTCGAGGCTGCAGTGAGCTGTTATGGTGCCACTGCACCCCAGTCTGGGTAACAGAGTGAGACCCCATCTCCAAACAAAACAAAAAATAAACATGATACTGTCCGATGGCACATTACCTGGCCTGGGAAAAACATAAAATAAAAATAAAGATAATACTGGTTTTGGCTTCTAACACTATTTCTCTAAGGAATTTCTGAATACATAATTTATCAATTCATTGTATTATTTTTCCATGTTTATTAACCGGTTCTATAGATTTTCTTCAATGTCAAAGTACGTTATTAGCTTTATTATTTACCTGGCTATTTAGGAATAAGACATAACAGGAATCTATGACTGTATTAATACTGTGCTACTCTATAAATAATTCATAACTACTCATTAAAATATTTAATCCATCTCTAGCAGGTCCTTTTGTGCTCTAAAAAGACAGATCTCTGGCATTAAAGATAGGAAAACTGAATCATGAAAAGATCATAATCCTATGCACCCCCTCCCCTTTCTTCATTGTGGTACTTGTGTGAATTAGAAATCAAATTCAGACCTTCTGATCCCCAGTCCAGTGTTGGAACCACAGGAAAGCATCATGCCCTTTAGAGAACTCAGCGGATGCCCAACATACAAAGAACGCAGGCTGCCATCTACAATCTGCAGCTTCGTGACATGCTCCTCCAGACTCCTGAAAGCAAGCTGCAAGTTGGGCTCCGGAGCTTAAAACATCTGAAATGCATCACCCAGCAGCCAGGAGGATAGGTTCCTGCTCAGTGATAAACGATGTTGCCGACATTCCTCAGCCAATTAGAATTCCTTTCAGCTGCAGTGGAGGTGAACACAGCTGGAATTACAGAGTGGGGCGCGTCACCAGACGCGCTGATTATACATTATTTAAGCCTTGTTTTAAAACAATATGAGGGTGTTTTTTCCCCCATTAGTCCAGAAATGTGGAAACAACATTCCACTTGGTTTAAATATCTAAATGGATTAAATTGCATCTGGAGACAAAACAGTAATAGTGACATTTTAAAAAGAAGATATGCCCAAGCCCCATAGCTATGTGCTTTTGTTTTTTAAACATAGCTCCATGGCTTTCCTTTAACTAGAAAGGCCTTAGGGACTTTAGTCAGTCAGAATGAGTTCCCTGGACAAGAAGCTAATTTAAGTTGGAGGCTTTCACTTACAAATTCACTTACAAAATAACAAACCAGTAATTTAAAACTTGTTCAGTGACAAAAAAAAAAAATTGTATATTCCTTGTTTAAAAAAAAATTAGCCTCTAAAATGGTTTTGAAATTATAAAAAATTGATCCAAATAAGCATCCTAAAAGTTAGCTGTCTTACCCAGCAAATCAGAGCATGGCGAAGATATCAAGTTATTTCATCCATTTGAGGCTTTTTTGAACCACTGAATAAAACGCACAATTCAGCTATTTTAACTGTTAACCAGTGCCCACGATGTTGTACAAAACAGCCAGTCTAGTTAACTGGATCACTGAGGTGATATTGAAACACTATTTGTCGTTTTGTCTTTTTTTCTTTCTTAATCCATGAGGAAATATTTCATAAATAACACAGCCTCCAAAACCTTTCTTTCACCCAATTTTCCACACTAGAACCTGACATTGTGACTGAACCGAGAAAATGAAAATGTGTGGAAGAGAAAGAAAAACCCAACATTCAGAAAGGACTTTTGTAACTGCAAGACTAGAGGTTTTAAACTCTGACAGATGGACTTGAAGTTAAAAATCCTAGTTTGATAAATCACAACTACTGTAAAAATGGAGATAGAAATAAAGCATATGAAAGATTTCATGTCTAAAGTCAGTTGGGTGGGCCAAGAAGATTAAAAGGAAAAAAAAATGGATTTGAAAAAAGAAAGTTGTTCTAAAAGGCAACACAAATGTGATCAAATCACAAAATCAATGACAAAAACCTCTATTTGGCAGAATGTGATTCTTCTTAAAGTATAATTGCAATTCAAGTTTTGCAACAGCATTTGTTCTAACCCATCCTACACCTTCCAATAATTCATCTCAAAGAACTGCCTTAACTGTATCTTCCTAAACTTGAGGCAGACCCTAAGGAAAATGTAAATGCAAAGGGAGCTAAAAACTGACCACTTATTCCATCTTATCACAGCAACTGTGTTATATGGTTTTTGAAACAAAAGTTTTGCCTGCCTCACATAAGTGAGGTTCTTAGCTGGTACAAATTGACAAAGTCAACAGTCTTAACAATTTTCTTAATCTTTCTTGAGAGACTTAACTATTTTGAATCAATTGAGACACCTGTAATTCATCAACCAACATCATCAACAGCTATTACCACAACTATTTCACTCACAGTTGCACCATCTGAATGCCAAAACACAAGTCACCCTTACATCCCACAAGCTACAATTTTAAAAACAACCTCATATTTCCACATGCTATCAAGGAAAGTCTCTTTGTTCCTCTCTGTTTGGAATTAGAGTTTTTCTTACTTCACAATATGCAGTCATGCTCCAAAAGATATAAAAACACCAGGATATCTGAGAGTATTTCAATGCATAAAAGCACAAAAAAGTTTAGGCACTTGTATTTCAACTAATTGGTTGACATTACAATAAAATTTAATTTTCTTGAAGAGCATTGTAGAACCCTGAATTCCATTCTTTTACCCAAAGTGGCCTAAACAATGTGTCTGGGATTCATTTGTGTACCAGATAAGAACAAAGTTTTTGCAAATCCTGCTTGATTTTTCAATCAAAATGTTTCTAAAGTGTTTGATTTGCCAGTGAACTCCAATGACTACAAGATAATGCTCTTTAACAAAAGATCACTTGATTCTGGATATATTATGCCCCTAAACCTACTGAAACCATTTAAAAACTATTTTCCTACTAAAATACCACAAAAACATTCGTTAAAATGTTATTATTTTAAATACAAAGGCTCAAATATTCTTCTACTGTTTAGACCAGGTTGCCAAAGCAGTTCAACATATTACCCAACAGTTTTCAAAAACAATCCCACATGAAGAAATAAAGTCATAAATGTAATCAATACACAAAATTAATGCTTGGCATAAATCAAACACATGTGCTACACTCCAACACAATTTTCTGAATATCAGGATTAAGAATACCACTAAGCCCAAGTGCCCAACAGTAATTTGAAATAAGTAGGTAGCTAAATTGATATATCCTGTGAGAAGGAGGATCAAAGAGTATTATAATGGAGCTGAAATCTCATTTGATATATAAAGAAACTGAGACCCAAAAAGGTTAAATAACTTGTTCCGTAACATGTAGTTAATGAGAAATCTGTCTAGAATCTAGGTCTCCTAACTGTAAATCTAATGCCCTATTCACCCCCAAATAGAATCGTGGACCCCAAAGTTCTAAATGTAGTATCTTCAGTATCCTTTTTTTTTTTTTTTTTTTTTTTGAGACAGAGTCTCACTCTGTTGCCCAGGCTGAAGTGCAGTGGCACAATCTCGGTTCACTGCAAGCTCCACCTCCCAGGTTCAAGCCATTCTCCTGCCTCAGCCTACCCAGTAGCTGGGACTACAGGCGCCCGCCACCACACCCAGCTAATTTTTTGTATTTCTACTAGAGACGAGGTTTCACTGTGTTAGTCAGGATGGTCTCAATCTCCTGACCTCGTGATCCGCCCCACCTCAGCCTCCCAAAGTGCTGAGATTACAGGTGTGAGCCACCGCGCCCAGCTAATTTTTTGTATTTCTAGTAGAGACGGGGTTTCACCGTGTTAGCCAGGATGGTCTCAACCTCCTGACCTCGTGATCTGCCTCAGCCTCCCAAAGTGCTGGGATTCAGGCGTGAGCCACGGCGCCAGGCCATCTTCACTATCTTTGCACTGAATTTCGCTCTGTGTCTATTCATTGACTGGTTGAAATATCCCTCATTTTTAACAGTCTTTTTTTTTTTTCCAAATAACAAACATGGAAATAAACTCTGAAACCTGTAACAAAAGTATTCAAATTTTGAAAGATTGCTTCTCAACATCCCAGAAGTGAGAATTCAAACTTCCCTTAACCAGAAAGATGAGACTAAAACCTATTCCACCGTCAACAAACTTCTAGTTCAAACCTTTCGAGGTAAACTAAGGTTCCACGTACTGGCATTGCATGTGTACCATTACCGCTAAACCGCAATCCTATTGTAAGGATGATCACACTCACAAATCCTCTCAAACCATTCATAACATCTACTGAAAGGGAAAGGGAAAGGGAAAAGGTGTTTCAGAAACAACACTCATCACCTGATCCTTCCCTATCAAATGTCATCCAAAAATTCCTCAAAGCATTCTTGCTTCGATAATCTAAATTCCTAAATCCAAAAATAATTTGGTAGGAGGAGAAACCAAGTCCTCCCTTTCAAGGCTCAGGCTTGGCAAATAGGATTGATTAATATACATACACCAGACATAAACATTTCAATTAAAACCTATTCCTTCTAAAACATTCATCATATTTCTAACACAAAATCAGTTGCTTTCGCTTTTAACAAGATAACTGAAACCAATCTGATGTCAATTACAGACTGAGCTGTAAATCAGAACCAAGTTAAAAGCTTTACAAGTATTACAATCTCAAAAATGTTACTTTTATCTTACCACATAAATAAAAATGTATCTACATTGTATCTACAAAGTGAGAAGCGTTTCCTATCAGCCCTGGCATAAAGAAATGTATTTCCCCAGAAGCAAAGATCCCAGAGGAAACTACCTCCTACGTTACAAAACCAGGGTCTGGGTTTGGGTCCAAATCATTATTTGATATCTTTATACAAAAAAACAAAACCTTCTCTTAAGACAAAAGTTGGGCCATGCAACAACTATGGGCTCTCAAAGTAAATTTTAGTTTAAAAAAATTACCTATTGTTTGCATGGATTTTACCGATGACTTTATGGCTGCGCATCTGCCATAAAGTGTTCAAAACGCTCATTCTCTCTTTGAAAGGACCTGACCAAACCAGGACTTTGGAGTTCTCACCCGACTGAGCCACTGAACAGAAAAATCCAGGGGAAAATCCCTGACGGGGATTAGAATGAACTTTTTAGTTTCCTTCCAGAGCTGGAAATATTCGAGTTTGGAAAGTCCCGGAGCAGAGCCGCATTTGCAACACGGCCATCCTGCTTTAGGGATGAATTGAAACTGGAAAGAGAGTAGTACCAATGAGAGTGAGAAAGGGAAGACGAGGATGCAGCCTGGTCCAGAACCTCTGGAGCCCGGGGGGAAACAGGTTGGCATCACATCCGCGCCACCAAGTCGCAGGCCCGCGGCAGAGCGTTGCGCTCACCCTTGAAGGTGGCACTACAGAGCCACCCAGGAAACACGGACTTTTCATTGAAGACAAAATGAATCAAGGAGCCTGCGTGTGGGCAGCTTCCAAAGCCTCCAGTGAGTGTGGGAGTAGGGATCAGAGCCTCACGGCGCTCTGGGTTGCTGAGTGTGGGGGTGATGGTGAAACAAAATGCAGAAAAGGTAAAAATTGAAGAAGCAGAGTTAAAAGTAGCTAGCGGTCTGGCCTAAGAGACAGGAAGTGGCCCAGACTGAGACTGAAGAGGGCTGGACCAGGGGGAAGTGAAGAGAGCAGGACTGGGAGCAGCTACAAGATAGGATTGAGGAATTTCAGGCTGAAGGAAAGAAAGGGTGGAGGCCTCGCCAGACAGCAGCGAGGGGGCGGGGCTAGGCAGGAATGAGGGCGGGGCTTGAAAGTGAGGGGCGGGGCTAGGGGAAGAAGGGAGGAGGACGGTGTGGGGGGGTGAGGGAGAAACGAAAGAGGATGGGGGAGTGAGAAGAGGGTGGGTGGGGGCAGGAGGGGAGAAGCAAGGGGGCAAGTGGAAGGGGAGGTAGCAAAATAGCTTGGAAGTGGTGGGAAAGACCAGGAGGATGAGGGGAGGGAGCAGGTGGGAGGGAAAACAGGAAAGCAAGAGAGATGATGGGAAAGTGGTGAGAAGTGAGGGATGGGACCAGGGGAACAGAGGCAAGGCCAGGAGGGAAAAGCGAGGGGGCAGGTGGGCGGAGAGGATGGGAAGCGAGGAGAAGGAGGGAGGGGGTAAAAACGGCGGAGGAGAAAAAAAGGAGAGAAGCAAGGGGGCGGGACCAGGAAGAAGTGAGGGCCGATGCTAGGAAAGAAGTGAGGAGGCGGGACCAGGAAGAAGTGAGGGCCCAGGCTAGGAAAGAAGTGAGGAGGCGGGACCAGAGAGAAGCGAGGGAGCTGGACGCAGGGAGAAGCGAGGGGGCGGGGACAGAAAGTTAGGAGGCGGGAGCAGAGAGGAGCGAGGGGGTGGGGCCAGAGAGATGGGCGGGGTCAGGTTTGGGGAGGAAAGGTGGGGAAGAGAAAGGACCACAGGGATGGAGGTGAAAGGCAAGGGGGCGGGGCCTGGGGGGAGAAGCGAGGGGTCAGGTGCTAGGGAGAGGAAGGGAAGCGAGAGGCAAGGGGCCGAGCCGGGGAGAGGTGAGGGGAAAGGGCCTGGAAGGAGATGCAAGGGGCGGGGCCAGGAAAAGAGAAGCGAGGGGCGGGGCCAGGGAAGGAGATGCAAGGGGCGTGGCCATGAATGGAAATGAGAGGGGCGGGGCCAGGACGGAGATGCGAGGGGGCAGGTGCGGGGGAACGGGAGGGAACGCGAGACCGAGGGGGCGCGAGCGGCCAGGGGGCGGGGCCGGGCAACGGCGAGGGGGCGGGGCCAGGAGGGAGAAGCGAGGGGCGCACGCCGAAGGGGGTGACGAGGTCCTGGGACAACGGCCGGCGTGGGGGAGGGCCGCTTCCAAGGGCGCCCTGCGGGGAATTCCGGGGCGGGCGAGGGGGCGCCGGGGCGCGGGTGGGCCTCCCGCCGGCCGTACCTGTCAGACGGATCTTGATGCTGGAGCCGTTCCTGCGTGTCCCGGGGTTCGACATCTCCCGCCAACGATCGGGCAGCCGCGGATCCAGCGCCACCGCCCCCCAGCCCGGCCCGGCCCGGCCCCGCCGCCGCCGCCTCAAGGTTACGGCTCCGGGCTGGGCGCCGGGGTCCGAGCCGGGACACAAACTCCGCGGCCCAGGCGTCCGGGCGGCAGGCGGATGGTCGAGCCGGGAGATCGGCGCTTGCTGCGGCGCTCTGACCCTCGCTGCTTCCAGCCGAGCCCAGTCCCGAGCCGCCGCCGCCTCCGCCGCCGCCTCCGCCGCCTCCACCACCTCAGAGCCGGACGCCCGCCGCCCTCGCCGCTTCCGCCGCTGCCGCCGCCTCTCCGAGCCGCGCGCGCGCCCGCCGCCGTGCCGGCCCGGCCCTGCGCGCCCCCGCGCCTGCGTGCGTGCGCGCCCCCGCCACGTACGCTGGGGCGGGGCGGGGTGCGCTGCTACGTCGCCCGCACGCCTGCCTCGGGCGCGCGGGGCCCGGATCCCGCGGGTTGGGGTCTTCACCCTTCCTGTGGTCGGTGGGTGGGAGGGTCTGGCCCCGAGCCCGGGAAGGGAGAGCAGAGCTGGCCCCGGGACCCAGCGCGCGGTCGCCCTCTGTCTTGACCCCTGTCTCTGCGAGGCTCTGGGCTCCTGAGTGACTGAAGAGTGGTTTGCATGAAACCGTGGGCTGTGTCCACACCAAGCTCCTTGCACACAGGCGTGCAATACCAGTTTTTTTCAGTTAAGAGCTTTCGATCGTGCAAGTTCAAGGGAGGGACTTCTCAAAGAGACAAAGCCCTTAGGTGTGTTCTGTGCAACGGGTGTGCTCCACTGACCCATAACAAAGTTGCCAGAATCGCAGAAGTGCCATATACGGACAAGGAAAACGAGATGAGAGGGAGGGATAAAGTTGAGAGGCGGATGTTTGTTATTATCCATTCTGCATACAATTTTACCAAACAAGAAAGTGGCATTGTGGTTTGTGTTCCCATGTCTTCTGCTAAATTTCCCCTTCTCCCGGGGTTGCAGGTTAGAACCAAAAGCTCATGGCTGGGTACGGTGGCTGTAGCCTGTAATCCCAGCACTTTGGGAGGCCGAGGCGGGCGGATCACTTGAGCCCAGGACTTTGAGGCCAGCCTGGGCAACATAGGGAGACTCCATCTCTACAAAAAATACAAAAATTAGCTGGGCATGGTGGTGCGCGCCTGTAGTCCCAGGTACTGGGAGGCTGAGGTGGGAGGATCACTTGAGCCCCAGAGTTCATGGCTGCAGTGAGCTATGATCAGGCCACTGCACTACAGCCTGGGTGACAGAGCTAGACACTGTCTCAAAACACACACACACACACACACACACACACACAGAAAAAGCTCATTATGCGCTTTCTCCAGCAAACAAACTCCTCTCTGTTAGCATGTTATAGAAATAAACTGGTATTATTAGAAAGAGGGAAAACTAGGTTTATCAAACTTGTTTTTTACCCACTACCTTGTTGTTGTTGTTGTTGTTTTTTGAGACAGGGTCTCACTCTGTCACCCAGGCTGGAGTGCAGTGGCACGGTCTTGGCTCACTGCAACCTCCACCTCCCAGGTTCAAGTGATTCTCGTGTCTCAGCCTCCTGTATAGCTGGGATTACAGGCGTTAGCCACCACACCCAGCTAATTTTTGTATTTTTGGTAGAGATGGGGTTTCGCTGTTTTGGCCAGGCTGGTCTCAAACTTCTGAGCTCAGGTGATCTGCCCGCTTCAGCCTCCCAAAGTGCTGGGATTTCAGGCCTAAGCCACCGCTCCCAGACCCCACTACCCATTTTCATGTACAAGTTCTTTTTTATTTTTATTTGATTCTTCATCAATCAACTTGAACAAATTCTTTTAATACTGTGTGTGTGTGTGTGTGTGTGTGTGTCCCAAGGAAAGTAGGCTCTGGGCCATTGCTACCATCCCCTGCAGCCTTGTGCCTGTCCTAAGGTCACAGTCTTCGGAACAGAGCCTTCTACCTAGAGCGCCTAGACATACCTGCCTGCCTGCCCGCCTGCCTGCCTGCCTGCCTGCCTCGGATGACCCTAGTGAAAGCAGAGTCTCTCCTGGGCAGGATTCAAGGCATCACATCTGTCAAATAAAAGGATGGTCCTAGGTCATTTCTATGGCACCTTGCGGCTCTTTCAGTTATCCTCAAGAAAGACCCAAGAATATAAGCAATGTTTAAGCAATAGCAGTAGAGCCACAATCCAGCTGTTTCCATTTGTAGATGATTGTCACAGAGAGTGAATGCCTGGGTCTGAATTAATCCATCCAGTCTCTAATGCTCCCAAGTAATCCCCATTCTTCTGCCAATCCCGTTAGTATTTCCCCCCTATTCAAAGAGTCTCCTCTCTAAACAAAACCAGACATCACTCTCTGCTTACCTGGGTGCAGGCTCCTGTTCTTATCCCCAGGTGTTCCTGACCTGGAAACCTTTCATTGCTTAATTTTGTTGTTTTTCTCCCCGCCCCGACGGCTGGTTCTTCGTTGGCTTGACTGTTTCCTTAATCTTTGAGTCAGGAGGTTGCTTCTGGAGGTTTCTGAAAGGCATTTTGTTCATTCATTAACAAGTACAGATGCTCCTTGATGTACAATGGGGTTACATTCTGATAAACCCATAATATGTTGAAAATATGTCAAAAATGCATTTGCGGAGGCCGGGCATGGTGGTTCATGCCTGTAATCCCAGCACTTTAGGAGGCTGAGGTGGGGGGATTACCTGCGAGCAGGAGTTCGAGACCAGCCTGGCTAACATGGTGAAACCCTGTCAACTAAAAATACAAAAGTTAACTGGGTGTGGTGGTGTGCACCTGTAGTCCCAGCTACTCGGGAGGCTGAGGCACAAAAATCACTTAAACTCGGGAGGCAGAGGTTGCAGTGAGGCGAGATTGTGCCACTGCACTTCAGCCTGGGCAATAGAGCGAGACTGTGTCTTAAAAAAAAAAAAAAAAAAAAAAAAAAAAAAAAAAAAACAACGGAAAATGCATTTACTACACCTAAGCTACCAGCCATTATAGCTTAGCCCAGCCTACCTTAAATGTGCACAGAACACTTTCATTACCATACGGTGGGGCAAAATCATCTAACACAAAGCCTATTTTACGATAAAGTTATTATAAAGAATTTTGAATCAAAATTCGAAATTTGAAGTGTGGTTTCTACTGAATGTGTGTCGCTTTCCTACCATAACATCAAAAAATCGTAAGTCAAACCGTCATAAACTGGGACCATTTGAAATTGCTAGATATACCCAATAGTATCTTTCACCACAGCTGCACAAAGGGGACCTTCCTACCTGGAAGCTCATGTTTTACTCATTCGGCAAACATTGGCCACCTGCTATGTGGCTAGGAACAAGGAATACAAAATAAATCTATTACAGCTTCAGCATTCCAGAGGGTCAGTTAACTGGATGAAACAGACATGAGCAACTGACAATGATACAGTGATGGGGATGTGTATAGCAGGCTAGAACATAGATGACAGAACAATTCTACATAAGAAGAGAAATGGAGACATCTCGAGTCACAGATGATCTTAATCTAGAGCTTAAAGCCAACGTTCAAGTTTGCTGGGCAAAGTGGTGAGGAAGGGCATTATAGATAGAAGGAACAGCTGCACAAAGGCATGAACGTGAATGGCATTTTCCAGCACCATTTTCAATAAAAATGTACTTATGGAGCTGCTTGTATACTCTATCCATACAACTTACTCCATTAAAAGTTGATAAAAGTCCGGGCACAGTGGCTCACGCCTGTAATCCCAGCATTTTGGGAGACCAAGGCGGGTGGATCACCTGAGGTCAGGAGTTTGAGACCATCCTGGCCAACATGGTGAAACCCCATCTCTACTAAAAATACAAAAATAACCTGGGTGTAGTGGCAGGCGCCTGTAATCCCAGCTACTCGGGAGGCTGAGGCAGGAGAATCTCTTGAACCCGGGAGGCGGAGGTTGCAGTGAGCTGAGATTGCACTGCTGCCCTCCAGCCTGGGCGATAAGAGCAAGACTCTATCTCAAAAAAAAAAATTTTTTTTTTTGATAAAAGCCTGGGCAACATAACGAGACCCCCATCTCTACAAAAAATTTAAAAATTATCTGGGTGAGGTGGTGCATGTCTGTAGTCCCAGCTACTCAGGAGGCCAAGGTGGGAGGATGGCTTGAGCCCAGTAGCGCAAGGCTGCAGTGAGCTATGATTGTGCCACTGCATTCCAGTCTAGATCACAGAATGAGACCCCATGTCTTTAAAAAAAAAAAAAAAGTTGATTAAAAATAACAAAAAGCATTTGCCCACTTAAAAATCATCAGACGCTATCATATTGAACTTAAGATATATCATCTTCCCTTCCTTTCATCATGTATCACATTCCTCGAAAATACAATCTTCTAAAGCTATCTGGAACAAACAGATGCAAAATGTCAAACAATTCTGCTGAAACAGAGATGGAACTCGGTGAGCCTCCTCAAGTGTCCTCTTTGCAATGGCTTTACACAGAGCAGTTTTGACCCTGCTTTCTAGGTAGCATTTGACTGCTTTTATTTCCCAGAAATGTATCAGTTCCCTGAGTCAGTGTTATTGGGCATTTGAAATATTTTCCAGTGGGCAAATCTGTCTTTGGATCTGACTGCAGTAGTTCTTAACCAGTTTCTGAGTCCCAAACCTCTTTGACAATCTGATGGAAACTCTGGACTCCTTCCTCCAGAAAAATTCATATGTGCAAATACACATCAAAATTTGCCTCTGATTTCAGTGGGTTTATGATCACCTGAAACCAATTTATGAATCCTGTAAGGGCCTGTAGTCCCTAGATTAATAACTCCTTATTTATTCTTTAAAAGAGAGGGTCTCACTCTGTCACCCAGGCTGGAAGGCAGTGCCATCATCATGGCTGACTTCAGCCTCGAACTCCTGGGCTCAAGCAATCCTCCCACCTCAGTCTCCCAAGTACCTGGGACTACAGGCATGTGCCACCAAACATACCTGGCTAAATTTTTTTATTTTTTATACACACAGGGTCTCACTCTGTCGGCCAGGCTAGTCGCCTCAAGTGGTCCTCCTGCTTTAGCCTCCCAAAAGGGCTAAGATTACAGGCATGAGCCACCGCACTCAGCCCAAGAACCGTTTTTTTTTTTTTTTTTTGAGACGGAGTCTTGCAGTGTCGCCCAGGCTGGAGTACAACGGCACCGTCTCGGCTCACAGCAACTTCCACCTCCCAGATTCAAGCGATTCTCCTGCCTCAGCCTTCCGAGTAGCTGGGATTACAAGCGTGCCACATCACACCCAGCTAAGTTTTGTATTTTTAGTAGTTAGTGGAGATGATATTTCACCATGTTGGCCAGACTGGTCTCGAACTCCTGACCTCAAGTGATCCGCCTGCCTCTGCCTCCCAAAGTGCTGTGATTTCAGGCATGAACCACCATGCCTGGCCCCAATAATTTTTTCTAAAGGAAATTATCAAGCAAATGATGTCGAGCATATCCTGCATGTATGTGTTCAGGATCCAGGACAATAACAACCCTTTTGAAAGGTAGCAGGTGTGCTGAAAAGAGGAAGACTATGACCCACGGAGGCCCACACTCTATCCAGCCTCCACCATATCACCAGCCGGTGCTGAAGCAAGATACTAAAATTCTCCAAGCCTTGCTTTGCTTATCTGTAAAATGGAAATAATACTTCTCCCTGAAAGTTATTGGTGAGGCTTAAATCATGAATGTAGATTTAGCATTCCAATACAGCAAGCTCTTGGTAAATGGCAGTTCTTATTAGTATGTGTGTGATTGCCTTGGCTCCAAAAGCTCCTAGTGAAGCTTCTTATCCTGAGAAAATCTGGGATTTTGTGCAGAGGGTCCCTGGTGGGAGTGGACAGTTATAGTGAATGCCTCTTGAGAGCACATTTCTGTTCCTGAGCTGGTGCCTCTGAGGCCAGTGGCCAGATCATATTAACCTTTAAAATCTTCTCTGTCTAGGATCTAGGCTTCTTTTGCTTTTCATCTGAGCATCAAGTTGTTTTTTGTTGTTGTTGTTGTTTTCCAGATGGAGTCTTGCTCTGACACCCAGGCTGGAGTATAGCAGCACGATCTCGGCTCACGTGCAACCTGCAACCTCCGCCTCCTGGGTTCAAGCGATTCTCCTGCCTCAGCCTCCCGAGTAGCTCAGACAGACTGCAGGCACGTGCCACCATGCCCGGCTAATTTTTGTATTTTTAGTAGAGACAGGGTTTCACCATGTTGGCCAGGCTGGTCTCGAACTCCTGACTTCATATGATCCACCTGCCTCAGCCTCCCAAAGTGCTGGGATTACAGGCATGAGCCACCGCACCAGGCCTTTGTTTCTGTTTTTGAGACAGGGTCTTGTTCTGTTGCCCAGGCTGGGGTGCAGTGGTGCAATCATAGTTCAGGGAAGCCTTGATCTCCTCAGCTCAAGCAATCCTCCCACCTCAGCCTCCTGAGTAGCTGAGATTACAGGCGCATGCCACCAAACCTGGCTAATTTTTATATTTTTAGTAGAGACAGGGTTTCACTATGTTGGCCAGACTGGTCTTGAACTCTTGACCTCAAGTGATCTCCCCACCTGGGCCGCCCCCTAAAGTGCTGGGATTACAGGCGCAGTGACATTAAACAAACTGGAAACTTCATGAATCATTCTTCTCTTTTTTTTGAGACGGAGTTTCACTCTTGTTGCCCAGGCTGGAGTGCAATGGCGCGATCTCAGCTCACCACAATCTCCGCCTCCTGGGTTCAAGCGATTCTCCTGCCTCAGCCTCCCGAGTAGTTGGGAATATAGGCATGCACCACTACGCCTGGCTAATTTTTGTATTTTTTAGTAGAGATGGGTTTTCTCCATGTTAGCCAGGCTGGTCTCGAACTCCTGACCTCAAGTGATCCGCCAGCCTCAGCCTCCCAAACTGCTGGGATTACAGGCATGAGCCATCGCGCCCAGCCAGACATTCTTGTACTCATCAAGAAGAATGGGATTTGAGTGCCCAGCTCTTGCAAATATTCACCATAGTTCCTGCTGGCAAGGAGGTGACCCAATTCTCTAGTCGTACAGTTGTGCAGAACCCGTAACCAAATCATTGCCCTATGCATCTGCAGAGTATTTAAATCAAACTCATCCTTCTGCTGAGTCCTGGCGAGGCTCTAATCTTACTTTGATTGTGCAAAAATAAAACCAAGTATGTGGTTCAATGTGACAAAGATTCCCCTACTACCAAGAAAGGGGTGGGGAGCTGTACCTCATTACTTAAATACGTTCACAGAAACAAATTAAATTAATTTGAGGTTTAACGGCATCCGGTTTGTGTGAGGGAGGGATGCTAGGTAATTATTAGTTACTATTCCTGCTTAGTGAACATGACGAAGGTTTTTCAAGGAGAGAGATCTCCAATCCAGGTTCCTGCCCTTTTTTTCTGGTGCCTGCATCGTGCTGATAGCCAACACCGTCTGTGTGTCTGTCTGTTTAGCCTGCATCAATCCTCTATCTGCCTAGGACTTCTCTGAACCTAGTCCTACCTAGGACTTAGTCCATAGAATGGCTTTAAGATTTTGATTTTTTTCTTCCCAGGAACCATATTCTAGAAAGCACAATTTTGTTATTTGTATGCAACTATTAGTAATATTAATTCATTGTTCCTCTCTTTGTACTGTAGAATAGTAAGCAAACTGTTTTGTTTGTTTGTTTTTGGTTTTTTTTTTGAGACAGGGTCTTTCCCTGTTGCCCAGGCTAGAGTGCAGTGGTGCGATCATAGCTCACTGCAGTCTCCACTTCCTGGGCTTGACTGATCCTCCAGCCTCAGGCTCCCAATCCTGAGATCACAGGTGTGCACCATCATGCCTGGCTAATTAAAAAAAAAAATTTTTTTTTCTAGAGACAGGTTCTCCCTATGTTGCCCAGGCTGGTCTCAAACCCATGGGCTCAAGCAGTCCTCCTGCCTCAGCCTCCCAAAGTGCTGGGATTATAGGTGTGAGCCACTGCACCTGGCCACAAACATTAAGAACCTCCTATGTATCAGGCAATGTGGTAACATGCAAGGAATTTTAAAAGATCAACAAGATATAGTCCCTGTATTTTGTGGTTCACTTCTAGTCATGGAGCCCATCACATAAATGCATCATTAAAACAATGTATAGGCTGGGCACGGTGGCTCACGCCTGTAATCCCAGCACTTTGGGAGGCCGAGGCAGGCAGATCTAGAGGTCAGGAGATTGAGATCATCCTGGCTAACACGGTGAAAGCCCATCTCTACTAAAAATACAAAAAATTAGCCGGGCATGGTGGCACACGCCTGTAGTCCCAGCTACTCGGGAAGCTGAGGCAGGAATATCACTTGAACCCAGGAGGCAGAGGTTGTAGTGAGCCGAGATCACACCACTGCACCCCAGCCTGGGCGACAGAGCGAGATTCTGTCTCAGAAAAACAAACAACAACAACAACAAAAATTAGCCAGGCGTGGTGGCAGGTGCCTATAATCCCAGTTACACGGGAGGCTGAGGCAGGAGAATTGCTTGAACCCCAGAGGCAGAAGTTGCCGTGAGACAAGATTGTGCCACTGCACTCCCGACAGAGCGAGAGAGACTCCGTCTCAAAAAAAAAAAGAAAAAGAAAAAAAGGAAAGAAAAAGAAAAAAAAAAGTAAAAATGAGGCAGAAGGGTCCAACTGAACCATCCCTTTCTCTGTGGACATCAATATGCCTTGGATATGGGCATACAAAGGGAAGTGTTTGGCGGGTTCACCAGGATGATATGCGGAAAGTAACTTCATGTTTGGTGTTTTTGCTGCTTATCTAGACAGTTTCTAAAGAGATTTAAAAATTAACAGTGGTTAATTCAGGAACCTTACCAATTTAAATATACTTGGGACGTATCTTTGGTAACTTTATTTCTTGTAAGGCAGCCCCAACCTTTGCTATTTAAAAGGCTTGAGCAGTTCTGTCTCTACAAGCCGCATGTATTTCTGCTGTGAGTTTTCATCTCGGGTTGTCAATTAGAGGTATAATCATTTTAGACATCGCAATCTGCTCAGAGAGCAAGGCCTGTGATGTCTTCTCTGAGTGCAGGATGAGGGCTGCCGTGCCTCTCTTTAATAAGTGAGAGTCCTCAGAATCAAATGGGAAAACAGTTTTATTTTTCACTAAAGAAAGACTGTACTTACTTTAGTTGAATTTATAGATTATGGTTGAATTCTCAATTCATTGACAAAAATTAAGGTTTAAATGTTAATTGTGACAAGCCACCATGCATCGGAATGGAATATTTTTATAATAACGGGCTGGTCTTAGGAGAATGCTTACCTCGCAAACGGGGTGAGGATTGTAGGATGTTTCATGGAATCTGTTGGACTAACACATCTTTCCCCGAAGGAGTTTCTGCTCCTTAAATGCAATCCTTTGCAGAATAATTTTTATGTAAGTGGGAGGAGAAAGGAAGTGAGTGGGGGTTGGTACCAACAGTGAATGACTTTAAAAAGATATAAACCTACCGTTGCTTAGAATATGGTATTTGGGGCTGGACACAGTGGCTCATGCCTGTAATCCCAACACTTTAAGAGGCCGAGGCGGACAGATCACCTGAGATCAGGAGTTCAAGACCAGCCTGGCCAACATGGCGAAACCCCATCTCTACAAAGATACAAAAAATTAGTCAGGCATGTGCCTGTAATCCCAGCTACTCAGGAGGCTGAGGCAGGAGAATCACTTGAACCCAGGAGGCAGAGGTTGCAGTGAGCCAAGATTGTACCATTGCACTCCAGCCCAGGTGACAGAGCGAGACACTGTCTCAAAAAAAAAAAAAAAAGATCGTTCTTGATCTTTGAGCAAACCTGCAAGTGTCCAAAAACAGACTTTGGTTTCCTTCGTATATTTACTGAATGGAATGCATAGATAGTGACCAGAACTTTATAAATAATAAAGGTTCCAGATGGGTGCAGTGGCTCATGCCTGTAATCCCAGCACTTTATGGGGCCAAGGTGAAAGGACTGCTTGAGCCCAGGAATTCAAGACCAGCCTGGGCACCATAGCAAGACCTCATCTCTACAAAAAAAATAAAAATAAAAATCAGCCAGGTGTGGTGGCTCGTGCCTGTAGTCCCTGCTATTTGGGAGGCTGAGGTGGGAGGATCATTTGAGCCCAGGAGATCAAGTGTGATCATATCACACTACTGCACTTCAGCCTGGGTGACAGAGAGTCTCTAAAAAAAAGAAAAAAAAGTTTCCATAATTTTTAATAATTGTTATGATCCCCTCCCCCTCCCAAAAAACACTTTAAATGTTTTCTAAATAATCACACTTCTGAAAGACAAGTAAATCAGGGATACAGAATATTTTTCCCATTAATGATTCACCAAAATGAGAATAGCTCACACACTTTTTTTTTTTTTTTTGAGACAGAGTCTCTGTCACCCAGGCTGGAGTGCAGTGGCATGATCTCAGCTCACTGCAACCTCTGCCTTCTGGGTTAAAGTGATTCTCATGCCTCAGCCTCCCGAGTAGCTAGGACTACAGGTGCCCGCCACCACACCTGGCTAATTTATGTATTTTTAGTAGAGATGGGGTTTCACCATGTTGACCAGGCTGGTCTTGAACTCTTGACCTCAAGCAATCCGCCCACCTTGGCCTCCCAAAGTGCTGGGATTACATGTGTAAGCCACCACACCTGGCAAAAATGCTTTTTTATTACAGGTAACTCCCAGGTCATTTATCAGAATTTCAGGTCATTTATCAGACTTTCACTGTATGTAGTTATGCTTCAGAAACTTAGGTCTTTTTTTTTTTTTTCTCAAGACGGAGTCTCGCTCTGTCGCCCAGGCTGGAGTGCAATGGCACAATCTCGGCTCACTGTGACCTCCACCTCCAAGCGATTCTCCTGCCTCAGCCTCCTGAGTAGCTGGGATTACAGATGAGTGCCACCACGCCCGGCTAATTTTTTTTTTCGTATTTTTAGTAGACAGGGTTTTACCATGTTGTCCAAGCTGGTCTCGATCTCCTGACCTCATGAACCGCCCACCTCAACCTCTGAAAGTGCTGGGATTACAGGCGTGAGTCTTGAATCTATGTTCATGTAATATACACCATGAAATTACACAGTTTTAATGTATTTGAGGTTTTCCTAAATTTTAAATCACTAAAAAGCTACCAATGACAAAATTGACACACCCCCTCAATTCTATCTCCTAGTCAGAAGTCAGCAGTTTGGTGAACATGCTTCCAGAATTATTTTCTATACCTATACTAACACATATATACTTTTTATAAAAGTTTATATATATGTGTATATTATATATATGTATAGACATATGCACATATATTTATTGATTCACCAATTTAGGACATTATCTGTTGGCTCTTCATTTATGAAAGATGAGGAGTTAGGTGACTAACACTTCCCTCTTCCTGCCTCCATTTTTATAGTTACTATTTTCAGTTCTTCTATTTCTACTTTTAAATATTTTTTTGAACCTGTGTTTCCTATCAGCTTGTAGCTTATGATCCCCTCCATGTTAGACAAAGATATTGGCACTGAACCATCTGTTCCAGTCTATACTCCCACCTTCATCCTTCTCAGCTGAACACTGACAATATCAAGGATGACAATGGTCACATTCTCTTTTGTGTGCATTGCTGACTTCCCTGTTTTGTCTGTTGATTCTATAAATGGATTGTTTCAGAATCAAGGTCAAAATCACACCACATTTCAGTTGGCTATGTTTGGACCTGGAGTTTTCTTACACATTTTTTTTTCTTGTTTCCTCATTGCCTTATCTTCCTTTTACTGATGGAAGAAACAGATTTATGGGGTTGTTCTTGGTTTTGAGATAGGATCTCGCTCTGTTGCCCAGGCTGGAGTGCAGTGGCATGATCACAGCTCACTGCAGCCTCAAATTCCTGGGCTCAAATGATCCTCCCACCTCAGCCTCCTGAGTAGCTGGAACTAACAGTGCATGCCACCACACTAATTTTTTTTTTTTTTGTATTTTTTATAGAGATGGGTTTTCATCATATTGCCCAGGCTGGTCTCAACCTCCTGGGCTCCAGCAGTCTGCCTGTCTTGGCCTCCCAAAGTGCTGGGATTACAGACATGAGTTACTGTGCCCAGCTCAGATTTATGTTTTGTCATTAGTATCATCTGGCATCTTAGCCATTCTGTCTACTACTTGGAATCAATTTCATCCTTCCAACAAGAACGAATCAACTTCATTCTTCTTGTTGAAGATAGTCTACCTGGAGCTCGCTGCCTGTCTGTTCTAATATGGAAAAAACAGGCTTCCAGGTTTGCTGTTCAATTCTCATCTCGGGATTGTTTTTCAGTGGACTTCTGGGTTGGTTTCATCATTTCTTGTATATTTCTCTTTTTGGGAGGTGGGGTATATAATTTACTTCCTTTCTTGATGGAGTACATTCTCAAGTAACTTCCTTAGTACTTGAAATGTAATCTTTCTGAGTTTATATCTGAAAATATGATGTCTTATATGGCTATGTGGTTCTAAATAATTTATGATTCTAAATTTATGGTTATAATTTTCCCTCAGAACTTGGAATTTTTCTATCATTCAGAGTCCACAAAGAGAAATCTGATGCCAGTCTGATTCTCATTCTTTTATAGGTAATCTATTTTTTGTTTCTGGAAAGAGTCTTCTGTTTATTCTTGGTATTCTGAAATTTCACCGCATTGAATCCAGGGATTGATCTTTTATTTATTTATTCTGCTTGGCATTCAATGAACCCTTTCAGCCTAGAGATTTACTTTCTTCAATTCTGATACTTTTTTTTTGTTTGAGACAGAGTTTTGCCCTTGTCACCCAGGCTGGAATGCAATGGCACAATTTTAGCTCACTGCAACCTCCGCCTCCCAGGTTCAAGTGATTCTCCTGCCTCAGCCTCCAAAGTAGCTGGGATTATAGGTGCCCACCACCACACCCAGAAAATTTTTGTATTTTTAATAGAGACAGGGTTTCCTCATGTTGGCCAAGCTGGTCTCAAACTCCTGACTTCAAATGATCCACCCCCCTTGGCCTCCCACAGTGCTGGGATTACAGGCATGAGCCAACATGCCTGGCCTCAATTCTGATAAATTTTCTTCTAGGGTTTCTTTGTTAATGTCTTTCCCTATATTTTCTCTTTTGTCTTTTTCTAGAACTTCAGTTACTCAGATGGTAAGCCTCCTGAATTGACTTTTTTTCTTCTCCCCAAACTTTCATCTCTTTGTAACTTTCTGGTCTATATTCTGAAAGATTTATCTTCAAACCTTTCTCTTGAATTTTTGTTCTGGTAATCATTTAATTTCTGAGAGTGTTCCTTTTTCATGGCATCTTTTTGTTTTATGGCCACAGAATCTTCTCAAATCTGTTGAGAATATAAATTAGAGGATGTTGGTTTTAATTCCCCCCGATTCTGACTGTTTCTTCTGGGAAATGGTTGTTTTGTTCATTTGCCTTTTTCTTTTCCATGATGCCAATTTTCTTGACAGAGTTTTGCTCTTGTTGCCCAGGCTGGAGTGCAATGGCTCAATCTTGGCTGACTGCAACCTCCACCTCCCAGGTTCAAGCGATTCTCCTGCCTCAGTCTCCTGAGTAGCTGAGATTACAGGCATGCGCCACCACACCCGGCTAATTTTGTATTTTTAGTAGAAACAGGGTTTCTCCATGTTAGTCAGGCTGGTCTTGAACTCCCAACCTCAGGTGATCCACCTGCCTTGGCCTCTCAAAGTGTTGGGATTACAGGCATGAGCCACTGCGCCCAGCCCCGATTTTCTTCTTGTGTCTGATCTTTTGTATTTGAGAATGGGAGCCCAGGTTGATTTTTCAGGACAACTCATTTAGATTTCTTCTATACATCTGTGTATTCCTGTTAGATTTCTTCTATACATCTGTGTATTCCTGTTAGATTTCCCCTATGAATAGATTAGCTAACTGAATGCCCTATGGATGTGATTCTAAAATTTCTTGTCAGGTAAGAACGCAAGCCATTGTGATTCTTGATCTTTCATATATGACTTCTTTTTACACTCTAGATGTAACTTTTGTTTTTTGATACAGGGTCTCACTGTCACCCAGGCTGGAGTGCAGTGGTGTGATCACAGCTCACTGCAGCCTCGACCTCCTGGACTTAAGCAATCCTCCCACCTCAGCCTCCTGAGTAGCTGAGACTACAGGCAGGTGCTACCACACCTGGCTAATTTTTTTTTGATTTTTTGTAGAGATGGGTCTCCTTATGTTGCCCACACTGGTCTTGAACTCCTGGCCTCCTGAGTAGCTGGGACTACAGGTACATGCCACCACATTTGGCTAATTTTTTACTTTTATAGAGATGAGTCTCCTTATGTTGCCCACGCTGGTCTGGTACTCCTGGCCTCAAGCGATCCTCCCACCTCAGCCTCCCAAAGTGCTGGGATTACAGGAATGAGCCACCACACCCAACTGGATCTTTTTTTTAATCAGTTTTAAATTTTCACAATGATATGCTTTGGCATAAATCAGCTTTCATCCATTTTTCTGGGCTATTCACTGGATCCTTTAAACTGGATCAGTTTTCTTCTGTTTGGGGAAATGGTATTATCTGATAATTTTCTTTCCTCTATGTTTTTTTTCTCCACTTCTAGAACTCCTCTATTCAGATTTCAGACCTCCAGTTCTGGACTTTATATAATTTGATCTTTTCTATTTTTGCAATTTTGCTCTACTTTATGGGAAATATCCTCAATTTCATCTTCCAATTCTGTTTTCATTTGTACTATCTTTTTATTATTATTATTATTTTAGATGGAGTCTCACTCTGTCGCCCAGGCTGGAGTGCAGTGGCACGATCTCGGCTCACTGTAACCTGCACCTCCTGAGTTCAAGCGATTCTCATGCCTCACCCTCCTGAGTAGCTGGGACTGTAGGTGTGCACCACCATGCCCAGCTAATTTTTGTATTTTTAGTAAAGACAGGGCTTCACCAAGTTGGCCAGGCTTGTCTCGAACTCCTGACTTCAAGTGATCCCCAACTCGGCCTCCCAAAGTGCTGGGATTACAGGTGTGAGCTACCACACTCAGCCCAGTTCTACTATCATTTCTAATTTCCAATAATCCTTTTTGTTCTTGGAATGTACATAAACAGCATCTTTTTTTTTTCTTTTGAGAGGGAGTCTAGCTCTGTCACCCAGACTGGAGTGTAGCGGTACAATCTTGGCTTACTGCAACCTCCGCCTCCTGGGTTCAAGCGATTTTCCTGTCTCAGCCTCCCGAGTAGTTGGGACTACAGGTGCACACCACGACGCCCGGCTAACTTGTGTATTTTTAGTAGAGACGGGGTTTCACCATGTTGGTCAGGCTGGTCTTGAACTCCTGACCTTAGGTGATCTGCCCGCCTCAGGCTCCCAAAGCACTGGGATTACATGCGTGAGCCACCATGCCCGACAACATCCTATGTTTTGCTTCATAAAAGCAATGTCATTAGCCAGGCATGGTAGTGCATGCCTGTAGTCCCAGCTACTTGGGAGGCTGAGGTGGAAGGATTCCTTGAGCCCCAGGAGTTCAAGGCTGTACTGAGCTATGATAGTGCTACTTCACTCCAGCCTGGGTGACACAGGGAGACACTGTCTCAAAAAAAAAAAAAAAAAAAAAAAAAGGAATAAACTTCCAGTTCGCTGCCAGGTGGGGCAGGGGGCAGTTGGTCAGCTTCATGGAATAGGGGGATGTAACAGCTTTTTGTCTTTCCAACTTTACATTATGGAGAACTTCAACCACCCACAGAAAGAATAGAACAGAACTCCCCATGGACCTATCACCAGCCCTGGTAACCATGATCACATTGCCAATTCCACCCCATGTGTGTATCTGTCACTTCCCTCTTCCCGTATTACTTTGAAACAAATTCCAAACATCACATCACTTCATCTATGATCATTCCGATTTCTCTAAAAGGACTTTATTTCTAATTAACATAGCCCCAATATGATGATTAAACCAAAACAGCCAATCATTCTTTATCATCAAACCTCCATTCAATGCTCAAGTTTCCAATTGTCTCATAAATGTCATATGTGTTTTATTTTCTCAATTGTTTGGTGGTATCAGAATACAAATGAGGCCCACTCTGGTTAGTCAATACGTCATTTAAGTCTAAATTTATAAGTTCCCCCCAAGCAATTTTTTAGTTGGAATTTATTAAGAGAAGGAAAGAAGTAGCTTGTCTGCAGGATTTCTCATGGTCTGGAGTCTGCTGCTTGCTTTTCTGAAGTGTAGCTTAGTGTTTCTCCTCTGTTGTTTTTGTTTTTTTTTTTTTTTTTTTTTTTTTGAGACAGTGTCTCGCTCTGTTGCCCAGGTTGGAGTGCAGTGGTACGATCCTGGCTCACTGCAAGCTCCGCCTCCCAGGTTCACGTCATTCTCCTGCCTCAGCCTCCTGAGTAGCTGGGACTACAGGTGCCCGCCACCATGCTAGGCTAATTTTTTTTGTATTTTTAGTAGAGACGGGGTTTCACCGTGTTAGCCAGGATGGTCTCAATCTCCTGACCTCGTGATCCGCCCGCCTCGGCCTCCCAAAGTGCTGGGATTACAGGCGTGAGCCACGCACCCGGCCTCTCCTCTGTCTTTTGTATTTCTTATAAATTGGTAGTTGCATCTAGGGGTTTAATTGCAGCTTCCTATTGTTTTATATTCAACTTCATGGATTCTTTCCTGTCTCCTCCATTCTGCTGTTAAGCCCATCCAGTAAATTTTATTTATTTTAGGGACAGGGTCTCGCTATGTTGCCCAGGTGGGTTTTGAACTCCTAGGCTCAAGCAATCCTCCTGCCTTGGCCTCCCAAAGTGCTGGGATTCAGGTTTGAGTCACTGCACCCAGCCATCATCCAGTAAATTTTAAATTCCAGTTATAGTATTTGTCAGTTCTAACACTTACATTTGATTCTCTTCTATTTCTTTGCTGAGACTTCAGTGGCCCTAGGTTATCATTTAAATGATGTCTTTTCAAATGAGAACAAATGATCCACTCCAGGGTGGAGTGGATGAGTAGGGAAGCCAGCCTCCAAGATGGTTCCCAATGACCTCTGTCTTCTGGTCTTCACACCTCTGCATAGCTCCTCCCACATCCTACAAGGTTATCGTATAGCAGAGTGATTGTATGCCACCTTTTTTTTTTGAGACAGAGTCTTTCTCTGTCACCCAGACTGGAGTGCAGTCACATGATGTCAGCTCACTGCAACCTCCCAGGTTCAAGCTATCCTCCTGCCTCAGCCTCCCGAGTAGCTGGGACTACAGGCATGTGCCACCACACCTGGCTTATTTTCGTATATTTTAGTAAAGACAGGGTTTCACCATGTTTACCAGGTTGGTCTCGAGCTCCTAACCTCAAGTGACGTGCTCACCTCAGCCTCTCAAAGTTCTGGGATTACAGGCGTGAGCCACCATGCCTTCTAAGATTAGGTTATAAAGGACCATGGCTTCTGTCTTGGGGATTCTGTCTCCCATGTACACAAACTCTCTCTCTCTCTCTCTCTCTCTCTCTCTCTCTCTCTCTCTCTCTCTGATCACTTGCTCTGGGAGAAGCAAACTTCCCTGTTATTGGAGATTCAGGAAGCCCAAGGGAAAGCCTGTGTAGCGTAGAACTGAAATATCCAGCCATCAGCCACTGAAGAACTGAAACCCTCTAACTACCACATACTACCATTGTAAGTAGGTCCTCTCCCAGTTGAGTCTTCAAATGAGACCACAATTCTGGCTGACAGCTTAAGTCCAACCTCATAAAAGACCTTGAGAGCCAGAACCATCTAAATTGTCCCCCAGATTCTTGCCTTACAGAAACTCTGTATAATAATTTTTTTAAGCTGTTAAGTTTCTGGGAAATTTGTTATATAGCAAGTAACTAATTCATGAGGCTTTGAATTAGTTATTAGTGATTCCCTGTCTGCCACTTACTGAAAGATGAAGGGCAAGTTGGCTAACCTTATGAGCTCCAGTTTACTTGGAAATTGAGGATAACCATTTTTGCATCGCCTTGTTTGACACTTGAACCCCTTCTTTTACAGATGAAAAAAACTGAAGCCCAAAGGAATTGACAGAAAAGAATCCACAAATGAGGCACTTAACAGTGAAATTACATGACATGTCCAGGCTTAGGCTATTTAGAAAAAGAGTAGAACTGACCCCAGGGCTCATGGCTCCAAGTTATTCTTTTATGCCTTAAAGCAAACTGTGCTGCCTTATAATGCATGCCATTATCATTAACACAGTCCATGTTTCAGGAAAAAACAGCAGATAAGTTACGCAGTGTGCATGGCTAACCAAGATTGCAATTTTTTTTTTTTTTTTTTTTTTTTTGAGATTGAGTTTTGCTCTTGTTGCCCAGGCTGGAGTGCAGTGGTGCAATCTCAGCTCACTACAACCTCCACCTCCTGGGTTCAAGTGATTCTCCAACCTTGCCTCCCGAGTAACTGGGATTACAGGCATGTGCCACCATACCCAGCTAATTTTGTATTTTTAGCAGAGACAGGGTCTCACTATGTTGGCCAGGCTGGTCTTGAACTCCTGACCTCAGGTGATCTACCTGCCTTGGCCTCCCAAAGTGCTGGGATTACAGGCATGAGCCACCATGCCCAGCTGAGAATTGCATTCTTTGAGGTACATTACAATTTCTGGGCAAATGCAAAAGGTCAAAGTTGTTCCAGTTCAGTGTTCACACCGTAAACCAACCTATAGCCATTCACACCTTCCTTCCTCTTTGTTGCCTCACCAGTCGTCCCAACTCCCCGAGTCTAAGCAGGTGGGCACCCAGCCAGAAGGTGACTAACACCATCTCTTTGCACCCAGACCATATACCAAAGGCAAATTGCTCCTTTTTTTAAACCTTGCTAGGCAAGTCAGTATTAGTATCTTCAAACTACAAAGGCTGCTTTGTCATGCAAAGAGAAGGAAAAAAAGAGGTTGACAGTATTTTGAGCCAACAAGGTTAGATCACTCGGACAACAGTGACTAAGCTCAACAGGGCTTCCAGCTCTTTTAATTAAAAAAATTTTTTCTCAAAGACCTATCTTTGTAAACCATCTCACCTTTCCACCTCCCTTCAACTACAATCTACGAATAGGGGGAAAAATGCTTTAAGATGTTGAAAAAGAATCTGTATTCCAATCAGATTCTTTGAAAAAAAGTATATGTAAGGCTGGACACGGTAGCTCACGCCTGTAATCCCAACACTTTGGGAGGCTGACACAGGCAGATCAACTGAGGTCGGGAGTTCAAGACCAGCCTGATCAACATGGAGAAACCCTAGCTCTACTAAAAATACAAAAATTAGCTGGATGTGGTGGCACACTCCTATAATCCCAGCTACTCGGGAAGCTGAGGCAGGAGGATCACTTGAACCTGGGAGGCGGAGGTTGCAGTGAGCCGAGACTGCGTGACTGCACTCCAGCCTGGGCAGCAAGAGCAAAACTCTGCCTCAGAAAAAAAAAAGTGTATGTAAATTCAACCTAGAAAAGAAATGCAAACAAAAATTATTGTATTGAAGTCATAGGACCATTTTTTCAATATGTTTTTTCAATTACAAATATATTAAATTTGTAATATATTTATATATAATATACATATTTTATATATGCACTATAAATATGAGTGTGTGTATATATATATATATATATATATATTTTTTTTTTTTTTTTTTTTTTTGAGACAGGGTCTCACTTTGTTGCCCAGGCTGGAGTGCAGTGGTGCAATTGTAGCTCACTGTAACCTTGAACTCCTGGGTTCAAGTGGCCCTTCTACCTCAGCCTCCTGAGTAGCTGGGGCTACAGATCCTCACTACCATGCCCAGCTAATTTTTTATTTTTATAGAGATGGAGTCATGCTGTGTTGCCCAGGCTGGTCTTGAACTCATGGCCTCAAGTGATTCTCCCACCTCAGCCTCCCAAAGTGCTGGGATTATAGGTATAAGCCACCACGCCTGGCCTAGTGTGTATTTTATATATAACAAATATTACCTATTTAACATTATTTAATGTAAAAATTCAAATGTTATATACTGTCTCTATTTTGACAGAATGGGACTTAATCTTTTGGATTTAAATAATGTCTCGAGTTACGGTATCATTTTCTACTCCTCATGGGCATCACTTAAGATCCCTCAGTCTCAAGCAACAGGAACCTACTCTGGCTACTTAAAAAGAATTTCTCGAAAATGCAAATCAAAACCACAATGAGATACCATCTCACACCAGTTAGAATGGTGATCATTAAAAAGTCAGGAAACAATAGGTGCTAGAGAGGATGTGGAGAAATAGGAACACTTTTACACTGTTGGTGGTACTGTAAACTAGTTCAACCATTGTGGAAGTCAGTGTGGTGATTCCTCAGGGATCTAGAACTGGAAATACCATTTGACCCAGCCATCCCATTACTGGGTATATACCCAAAGGATTATAAATCATGCTGCTATAAAGACACATGCACATGTATGTTTATTGCGGCACTATTCACAATAGCAAAGACTTGGAACCAACCCAAATGTCCAACAATGATAGACTGGATTAAGAAAATGTGGCACATATACACCATGGAATACTATGCAGCCATAAAAAATGAAGAGTTCATGTCCTTTGTAGGGACATGGATGAAACTAGAAACCATCATTCTCAGCAAACTATGGCAAGGACAAAAAACCAAACACCTCATGTTCTCACTCATAGGTGGGAATTGAACAATGAGAACACATGGACACAGGAAGGGGAACATCACACTCCGGGGACTGTTGTGGGGTAGGGGTAGGGGGAGGGATAGCATTAGGAGGTATACCTAATGTAAATGACGAGTTAATGGGTGCAGCACACCATGGCACATGTATACATATGTAACTAACCTGCACATTGTGCACATGTACCCTAAAACTTAAAGAATTTAAAAAAAAAAAAAATTTCTCGAAAGAGTATGGGAGAGCACCTAAGACCAAAAAGGAGGCCTGGAGAGGCAGGATGCAGGTAGCCACTGGAAACATCCACAGCAGGGCTTGCCACTGGAGTCATCAAAGACACATGAGCTATTTCTTCTGTCCCCAGCCCCTGGGTTTAAGATTCAAAGTCTCAGACCGGGTGTGGTGGCTCACGCCTGTAATCCCAGCACTTTGGGAGGCCGAGGCAGGAGGATCACCTGAGGTCAGAAGTTTTGAGACCAGCCTGGTCAACATGGCAAAACCCCGTCTGCTAAAAATACAAAAAGTAGCCGGGTATGGCAGTACCCGCCTGTAGTCCCAGCTACTAGGGAGGCCGAGCATGGTGGCATGTGCCTGTAATCCCAGCTACTCAGGAGGCTGAGGCAGGAGGATCACTTGAGCCTAGGAGGCAGAGGTTGCAGTGAGCCGAGATCATGCCACTGCACTCCAGCCTGGGCGACAGAACACGACTTTGTCTCAAAAAATAAAAATAAAATAAAATCTGCAGCTCTGATCATTGGGATCACTTGTTGGAATGGCCGGGTTCCTGTGCAGTCACCTAGCAGATGTCTACCAATGACAGGCCCTACTCACAGCCACTGCACTCCAGCTTGGGCGACAGAGCGAGGCCTTGCCTTTTTAAAAAAAAAAAAAAAGGCTCAGAGAAAGAGTATGCTTGGCCAAAGATCTGCCACCTAGGGCATCCTGAGCTGAGGAGGAAAGAGGGTACAGAGTCTCCCAGTTGCCCCCATCTCCATATGGGATGGCACAGCCCCTCGAGGAGCACCCCACCCTCAGCATAGCTCTCAGCAGTGGACAGATAATCACTGCAGAAGGAGATGAAGATACTGATTGCAGGCCCCAATGTCCACTAAATCATAGACTTGCTGTCATCACTAAATGAGAAGTTGGTGCAGGTGAACTGTCTTCCAGCAGTATTTTAGACTAACACCCAAACACCGTTTCTCTTCATTTATCAAAGGCCACCAAAGACCTGCTTTGGGCATGATGTTTTGGTGTGACACTTCTGAGCCAAAATTTAGCTTAATCTCTACACTCAACTTGTACAGATCAAGCCCAATCCCTTTGAGACAGAGTCTTGCTATGTTGTCCAGGCTGGACTTGAACTCCTGGGCTCAAGGGATCCTCCAGCTTCAGCTTCTCAGGTAACTGGGTGATAGGGTTTCGATTTGTGTCTCTGACCAAATCTCATGTCAAATAGTAATCCCCAACGTTGGGGGTGGGGCCTGGTAGGAGGTGATTGGATCATGGAGGCAGATTTCCCCCTTGCTGTTCTTGTCATAGTGGGTTCTCATGAGATCTGGTTGTTTAAAAGTGTGCAGCACCTCCCCCTTCTCTCTCTTCCTTCTGCTCTGGCCATGTAAGACGTGCCTGCCTCCCCTTCACCTTCTGCCATGATTGAAAATTTCCTGAGGCCTTCCCAGCCATGCTTCCTGTGCAGCCTACAGAATCATGAGCCAATTAAACATCTTTTCTTTATAAACCACCCAGACTCAGGTATTTATTTATAGCAATGCCAAAACAGACTAATACACTGGGATTACAGGTACACATCAGCATGCCCAGTTTAATCCCTCTTTCAACATCTCCTATCCATGACCACACTGCCTAGCACCTACTATGTTTCTAGGTCCTTTCCTTCCTCGTTACTTTTTTTGAGATGGTCTCCGTCATCCAGGCTGCAGTGCAGTGACGTGATCCCGGCTTGCTGCAACCCTGCCCCCCACGTTCAAGTGATTTTCCAGCATTAGCCTCCTGAGTAGCTGGGATTACAGGTGTGCACCACCATGCTCAGCTAATTTTTGTATTTTTAGTAGAGATGGGGTTTCACCATGTTGGCCAGGCTGGTCTGGAGCTCCTGACCTTAAGTGATCCACCTGCCTCAGGCTCCCAAACTGCTGGGATTACAGGTGTGAGCCACCGTGCCCGGCCTTTCTATTTTATTTATTTTTTTTGAGATGAAGTTTCACCCTGTTGCCCAGGCTGGAGTGCAATGGCATAATCTTGGCTGACTGCAAGGTCTGCCTCCCAGGTTCAAGTGATTCTCCTACCTCACCCTCCCAAGTAGCTGGGATTACAGGCATGTGCCACCACGCCCAGCTAATTTTTTGTATCTTTAGTAGAGACAAGGTTTCACCATGTCGGCCAGGCTGGTCTCAAACTCCTGACCTCGTGATCCACCACCTCGACCTCCCAAAGTGCTGGGATTACAGGCGTAAGCCACCATGCCCAGTCTAGTTACTCCCCTTTTGACCACTGCCCACACAGCTTTTTCTGAAGAATGTTCTGCATTCACAGGTGTTATATGAAAAGTGAAGGGGACCAAATGTCACATGTGTTTGGGAGATTCCCATAATATTTAGAATAAAATTCAAAGTCTGCATCTAAGCTTACAAGGCTCCCTGATATGACGCTCTCCAACCTCAGCCTCTCATACCCCAACTCCACCTCGCTCCAGCCACGGAGCCTGCTGTTCACACACCTGGAGCCAGCTCCCACCTCTGTGCCCTGGCCCCACTGTCTCCTCTGCCTGGGATGCCTTTCCCGGAGATCTACCAGACTACCTTCTTCACCTCCTTCAGGGCCAGCCTTGCCTTAGCACAGCAGTCTCTAATCCCTAGACCAGTCCGTAGCCTGATAGGAACCGGGCCACCCAGCAGGAGGTGAGCAGCAGGTGAGCGAAGCTGAGCTCCGCCTCCTGTCAGATCAGTGGCAGCATTAGATTCCCATAGGAGAGAGAACCCTATTGTGAACTGTACATGCAAGGGATCTAGACTGCATACTCCTCAGAATTTTTCAGATAGGGTCAAAAAAAGCTGGAGTATACTGGCGCAACCTTGGCTCACTGCAACCTCCACCTCCCGGGTTCAAGCAATTCTCCTGCCTCAGCCTAAGTAGCTGGGACTACAAGCTGATGCCATCACACCCAACTTTTTTTTTTTTTTTTTTTTTTTTTTTTTTTTTTTTTTTGCATTTTTAGTAGAGACAGGGTTTCACCATGTTGGCCAGGCTGGTCTCGAATTCCTGACCTCAGGTGATCCGCCCACCTTGGCCTCCCAAAGTGCTAGGATTACAGTCATGAGCCACTGTGCCTGGCCTCCTTATGAGAATCTAATGCCTGATGATCTGTCACTATCTCCCATCACCTCCAGATGGGACCACCTAGTTGCAGGAAAACAAGCTCAGGGCTCCCACTGATTCTACATGATGGTGAGTTATAGAATTGTTTCATTATCCATTACAATGTGATAATAAAGTACACAATAAGTGGAATGTGCTTGAATTATCCCCAAACCATTCCCCCACCCCCACACCCCTCTATCCGTAGAAAAATTGCCTTCCACAAAACCAGTCCGTGGTGTCCAAAAGGGAACCACTGCCTTGGCACCAAGTCTAAAACAACACTCTTGGCATGTTTTCTTATCCTGCTTTTTCTTCCTGGAACTTGACTTACCTTACATTGGTTTATTGTCTGTTTCCCTAACTAGAATCTAAACCTCTTGAGGGCAGGAACTTCATCTGCTTTAGCATTTGCCTCTCAAATGCCCCTGGGAAGCTGGTTAAACACATTGATACTTAGGTCCTACCCCCCAGAGTCTGTTTGAAGTGCAAGAATTCTGCATTTTTGCCATGTTGTTGGATGGTTCTCAGACAAGTGGCCATAGCCAGCACTCTGAGGGATGTGGGAATAGGGGGGTTAGTATCCCCAACAGAGCAAAACCCCCCTCCCCTCCCACATACACAAAACATGTGCTTCCAGACCAGAAGGGTAAATCCTGGCCCTGCTCTTACTTGGTGTTCATCTTTACCGCTTTGGGACTTGTTTCCTTATTTTTTCTTTTTTAAGAGATAGGGTCTGGCTCTGTCCCCCAGGCTGGGGTGTGGTGGCAGGATCATGGCTCACAGCTGCCTCAACCTCCTGGGCTCAAGTGATCCTCCCACCTCAGGCTCCCAAGCAGCTAGGGACTGCCCCATCCAGCTAATTTTTTTAAATTTGTAGAGATGGGATCTTGCTATGATGCCTAGGCTGGTCTCAAACTCCTGGCCTCAAACGATTCTTCCACCTCGGTCTCCTGAGTAGCTGGGACCACAGGTGCACACCACTACACCCGGCTGTGTTTCCTTACCTTTGACATGGAGGCACCGCCACCCACTTCAAAGAACTTTAAAGTACATCTAGCCCTTGACATTAGTTTCCTTCCAATCCTGAACTCTCCATTAATGTAACCACGGTGGCTCACACCTGTAATCCCAGCACTTTGGAGGCCAAGCCAAGGTGGGTGGATCACAAGGTCAAGAGATTGAGACCATCCTGGCCAACATGGTGAAACCCCATCTCTACCAAAAATACAAAAATTACCTGGCCGTGGTGGCACACGCCTGTAATCCTAGCTACCCGGGAGGCGGCGGTTGCAGTGAGCTGAGATCGCGCCACTTCACTCCAGCCTGGCGACAGAGAGACTCCCTGTCTCAAATAAATAATTTTTTAAAATAATGTAAACTGAAACAATTTTATTGGAATTTTAGCCCCCAGGCTGAAAGCTTGGCAGGTCCCTGAGAAGGTAGGTGTAAGGACTCTGGACTTGGGGAGGACAGCATCTGAGGGAGCAAAACTGAGAAAAATGAGTATTTTGCTTACTGAACAACCTGACCTTGGCTGGGTACAGTGGCTCACGCCTGTAATCCCAACACTTTGGGAGGCCGAGGTGGGCAGATCACTTGAGGTCAGGAGTTCAAGACCAGCCTGGCCAACATGGTGAAACCCTATCTGTACTAAAAATACAAAAATTAGCCAGGCATGGTGGGGCACGCCTGTAATCTCAGCCACTCAGGAGGCCGACAGGAGAATCGCTTGAACCTGGGAATGGAGGTTGCAGTGAGCTGAGATTGCACCACTGCACTCCAGCCTGGGCGACAGAGCATGATTCCATCTCAAAAATAGATAAATAACCTGACCTTGTTCCTGTGCCCTGCCCAGAGAATGGAAGGAGGGAAGCATAAGTCTCACAAATGAATGGTTGAAGGACTCCTCTTTAGGAAAACTAACCAGCCCATGAAAAAAGATCTGCAGCTCTGGGCCAGGCGCAGTGGCTCACGCCTGTAATCCCAGCACTTTGGGAGGCCGAGGTGGGCGGATCACTTCAGGTCAGGGATTCAAGACCATCCTGGTCAACATGGTGAAACCCTGTCTCTACTAAAAATACAAAAATTAGCCGGGCATGGTGGCTTGTACCTGTAATCCCAGCTACTTGGGAGGCTGAGGCAGGAGAAGTCACTTGAACCCAGGAGGCGGAGGTTGCAGTGAGCAGAGATTGTGCCACTGTACTCCAGCCTGGGTGACAGAACAAGACTGTCTCAAAAAAAAATCTGCAGCTCTGATCGTTGGGATCACTTGTTGGAATGGCCAGGTTTCTGTGGGGTCACCCAGCAGATATCCACCAATGACAGGCCCCGCTCACAGCCTGAGGACCTTTCTATTACAAGCAGAGATCCAAGGACATCAGACATCTGATGGAAGCCTTTGCCATAGGCACACCAAACTAACAACAAACACCCCCCCAAGAATCAATGCATAAACAAAGCTAGGTCGATAGCACAGATAGGATCTTGCGCTAATGAAGAAGGAGGCTTGAAAAGGGAAGCCTGTGAAAACAAAGTGTCTCGAATTAAGTGACTGCAGAAATGAAAAGCCTGGAAGAAGAGATAAAGTAGAATACCCCAGAAAGTAAAAAATAAAGATGGAAAATAGAGAATGGGACAAGAAAATGAGAGGATCCGTTTCAGTGGGAAAAAAAAATGGTGGTGGCAGGGGAGATAATTCTATTTTTTTCTTTTTCTTTTTAGAGATGGGGTCTTGCTATGTTGCCCAGGCTGGTCTCAAACTCCTGGACTCAAGGGGTCCTCCCACCTCAGCCTCCCAAAGTGCTGGAATTATAGGCGTGAGCCACTGTTCCAAGCTGTTTTTTAAAAATTAAAAGGACAATTCTAGACTGCAAGGCTGATACTTGGATGTACAGAAAATAGGTTTCTATTCAGGACAGCACATTTAAGAATACTGGAGACACAACCTACAAATTTCAGTCAGTAGAGTTGAGACAGGGGAAGAGAGTCATGCACAAAATAATTGGCAATCAGAGTAGAAGACTTTGAACCCAACACTGAAAACTAGAAGATAATGATCGATGCTTGCAACATTCTGAAGGTCATAGTTTCCAGTCTAGAACACTTGTCTGCAGCTGGATTGTCAACCAGGAGTCAAAACAAAGTCCATGTTTTCAAAGGCCAGGTGCGGTGGCTCACACCTGCAATCCCACTGAGGTCAGGAGTTCAAGACTAGCCTGTTCAACATGGTGAAACCCCGTCTCTACTAATAAAAAAAATACAAAAATTAGCTGGGCGTGTTCGCGGGCGCCCGTGATCCCAGCTACTCGGGAGGCTGAGGCAGGAGAATCGCTTGAACCCGGGAGGTGGAGGTTGCAGTGAGCCAAGATCGTGCCACTGCACTCCAGTCTGGGTAACAGAGCAAGACTCTGTCTCAAAAATAAAAATAAAAAATAAAGTACATGTTTTTGGATGAGCAGTGTCTGAAATTTAACCTCCCATGCACCTTCTCTCAGAAGATACATATTAAAAGCCAGTGGGTCTCAGTGGCTCACGCCTGTAATCCCAACACTTTGAGAAGCCAAGGCAGCAGGATCGCTTGATCCCAGGAATTCAAGGTCAGCTTCCCTGTTTCCTGGATCCCATGCCTACCTCCTCATGCGATCGTTTGTTTTGGAGATGGGGTCTCACTTCATAGCCCAGGCTGGAGTGCAGTGGCACCATCATAGCTCACTGCAGCCTCCAACTCCCTGGCTCAAGCAATCCTCTCGCCTTGGCTTCCCAAAGCCAAATTAATTAAAATTTTAAAAGCCAAATTAATTAAACAATTAGCTGGGCATAGTGGCACACATCTGTAGACCCAGCTACTCAAGAGGCTGAGGCGGGAGGATTGCTTTAGCAAGGCTGCCCTGAGCTGAGCTGTGATGGTTCCACTGCACTCCAGCCTGGGCGACAGAGTAAGACCTTGTCCCTAAAATAAAGGGGAAAACAAGCACAGGCAGGTGTGAGATCCTGCAAACAGGGACACTGACCCAGGAAAAGTGAGTGGAGCCCCCACAATGATGGTAAAAGCCGATCCCAGGACAATAGACGTGTACCAGAGGATGAGGACAACTATTCCAGGCTGGAGCATGACAGAGCTCTCCAGTGGGTGTGGATGACAAGCATGTTGGTAGATTACTGACGTATTACATTCAGCAGGAGGTTTACACAGGCTGTAAGAATTTGATATGAGGTAAACCCAAGGAAAACAAAGCATATGAGTGAAGATGTGGATTAATACTAAGGAAAACACACTTCTGAATATAATTTACATCATTATGATAAAATCTGGACATCAAGCTAACAAAAATTAGATATCTACGATGCGAAGAAAGGGAGGTATAAAAAAATGGCTATCTCTTCTGTAAATTCGAACATCGTCTTTAGATGTAGCATGAGCATAATGTTTAGAATTACAAAAGCATAGACTAGAATAAACAGACCAAAGAGTAGAAAGTTCTGGCCTCTGGGGATGGGGTGGAAGAGGCATGGGTCCTCCTTTGCTTTAAATATCTATAGCTCTGTAAAATATGTACATTGTATCAAAGTTCATTTAAGTTATAAAAATTAAGTATACAAGAAAGTCATGGTTCAAAAATAATATGTAGGCCAGGTGCGGTTGCTTATGTCTGTAATCCCAGCACTTTGGGAGGCTGAAGTGGGAGGACCATTTGAGGCCAGGAGTTCAAGACTAACCTGACCATAGTAAGACCCCATCTCTACAGAATTCTTTAAAAGGTTAGCTGCATGTGGTGGTGCTGCCTTGAAATATAGAAACACACACGCACTCTCTTTCTTTCTAGGAAGAATAAGAGAGATTGAGTTTCTAGAGAAAATTATCTTAGATCTTGTCAGTGTCAGGATATTAATTGCCAGAGGAAAGAAGGCCAGTAACACTGTCCCTGCAGCACTAAGAACCAATGATATTGTATCTGCAAGTCGAAGTCTGTGTAGAGACCAGGCATGTTGGCTCACGCCTGTAATCCCAGCACTTTAGGAGGCTGAGACATGTGGATCACCTGAGGTCATGAGTTTGAGACCAGCCTGGTCAACATGGTGAAACCCTGTCTCTACCAAAAATACAGAAATTAGCCCAGCATGGTGGCAGGCACCTATAGTCCCAGCTATTTGGCAGGAGAGGCAGGAAAATCACTGGAACCTGGGAGACGGAGGTTGCAGTGAGCCTAGATCACATCACTGCACTCCAGCCTGGGTGACAAGACCGAAACTCCATCTCAAAAAAAAAAAAAAAAAAAAAAGAAAAAGAAAAAGTCTGTCCGGATAACTATAAGACCATTCTACTCTGTCTTGAAGGTTTTGCTTTAAGACCTTTTAAAAGGCAATTACTAAACAAATGTTCTTTATTTTTTATTATTTTTTTTGAGAAGGAGTTTCACTCTTGTTGCCCAGGCTGGAGTACAATGGCTCCATCTCAGTTCACTGCAACCTCCGCCCTCCTGGGTTCAAGCAATTTTCCTGCCTCAGCCTCCCAAATAGCTGGAATTACAGGCATGCGTCACCATGCCTGGCTAATTTTTTGTATTTTTAATAGAGACGGAGTTTCACTGTGTTGGCCAGGCTGGTCTCAAACTCCTGACCTCAGGTGATCCACCCACCTTGGCCTCCCAAAGTGCTGGGATTACAGGTGTGAGCCACCACACCCAGCCTAAACAAATGTTCTTAGGAGATGAATTCCACATGGTTTTAAGATGCAAGTCGTTTATCTGAAGTTCAGATAGAGAAACGTGAAAGTGTTGAACATTTTATTAATGTCAAGTTTTAAAAGCTTCACATTTGGGTTACACTAAGATAGAGGACTGCTGCTTCTTAAAGAAGTTATCCTTTAGCACTGGGTTGTTGGTTTAGGAGGTAGGGAGCTTGGCTATTTTTTTGCTAAGCATTCATAATCTATAAATTCATAATCTTGGTCTATGACTTGGCTCAGTAAAGTTTGGCTCTCATCTTCTTCCTTCAGGAGAGAATAGACACTGTTATACCTCCAGGATTCTCAGCACATTATCACTGCACATTTGGCAAGATGCACCTTGTAACAAAATTGACCCTCTTAACCATGTTTAAGCAGGTAGCTTAGTAGCAATTAAGTACATTCGCATTGTTGCGCAACCATCACCACCACCCACCTCTAGAACTTTTTCATCTTGCACAACTGAAGCTTTGTACCTATTGCATCAGGGGTCCCCAACCCCGCATCCGTGGCCTATTAGGAACTGGGCCACACAGCAGAAGGTGAGCAGCAGGCCAGCAAGCGAAGCTTCATCTGTATTTACAGCCACTCCCCATCACTCGCATTCCCACCTGAGCTCTGCCTCCCTGTCAGACCAGCAGCAGCATTAGATTCTCATAGCAGCACAAACCCTATTGTGAACTGCGCATGCCAGGGAACCAGGCTGCATGCTCCTTATGAGAATCTAGTGCCTGATGATCTGTCAACTGTCTCCCATCACCCCCAGATGGGATCGTCTAGTTGCAGGAAAAGATCTCAGGGTTCCCACTGATTCTGCATTACGATGAGCTGTATAATTATTTCATTATATATTACCATGTAGTAATATAAAGTGCACAATAAATGTAATGCTCTTGAATCATCCCGAAACCATCCCCTCACCCCCCAGCCTGTGGAAAATTTGTCTTTCACAAAAACTGGTCCCTAGTGTCAAAAACGTTGGGATCACTGTATTTAATCACTCCTCATTCCCTCCTCCACCCAGCACCTGGCAACCACCATTCTACTTTGTCTCTACAGATTTGATGACTGCAGGTACCAAATCTAAGTGGAATCGCATTGTATTTGTCCTTTTGTGAGTAGCTTGTTTTTAAATGCAGTTTTGATAGACATAGAACACCGTCCTGACAATGAGTAAGCAAATGATAGGTATAGTTACTACTTCTAGTCCAGAAATCTTTACCCTGGAGTTCTTGGATCAAGCCCCAGGGATCAAACCCCCTTTAAAAGAGGTCTCTTATTTATTATTTTTTTTTTTTGAGATGGAGTCTTACTCTGTCGCCCAGGCTGGAGTACAGTGGCATGATTGCAGCTCACTACAACCTCTGCTTTCTGGGTTCAAGTGATTCTGCTGCCTCAGCCTCCTGAGTAGCTGGGATTATGAGCACCCGTCACCACACCCAGCTAATTTTTGTATTTTTAGTAGAGATGGAGTTTCACCATGTTGGCCAGGCTGGTCTCGAACTCCTGACCTCAGGTGATCCACCCGCCTTGGCCTCCCCCAAAGTGCTGGGATTACAGGTGTGAGCCACTGCACCCAGCTGAGCTTCTTATTTATGAGGTTTTCATAGGAACCATTAACCTGGAAAATGCTTATCACCATTATCACCATTCTAGGTCTGGTCTCCTTTGAGAGCATTTTTTTTCTATTTTAAGACAGTCTCGTGCTATTGCCCAGGTTGGAGAGCAGTGGCACAATCACAACTCAAGCAATCCTCCCACTGTAGCCTCCCGAGTAACTGGGATTACAGGCACATGCCATTACACCTGGCTAATTTTTGTATTTTTTGTAGATATGGGCTCTCACTGTGTTGCCCAGGCTGGTCTCGGAGCTCCTGGACTCAAGCAATCCACCTGTCTTAGCTTCCCAAAGTGCTGCAATTATAGGCATGAGCTACCACACCTGGCTTGAGAGCTTTATTTATTTATTTATTTATTTATTTATTTATTTATTATTTATTTTGGAGATGGAGTTTTGCTCTGTTGCCCAGGCTGGAATACAGTGGCACCATCTTGGCTCACTGCAACCTCTGCTCTGGGGTTCAAGCTATTCTCCTGCCTCAGCCTCCTGAGTAGCTGGGATTACGGGCACAAACCACCACACCCAACTAATTTTGTATTTTTAGTAGAGACAGGGTTTCGCCATGTTGGCCAGGCTGGTCTTGAACTCCTAACCTCGTGATCCATCTGCCTCAGCCTCCCAAAGTGCTGAGATTACAGACATGAACCACTGCTCCCAGCCGAGAGCATCATCTTGGTCCCAAATCAAGACTAACTGCCCCAGCTAACCACACCATCCACCTGGTCATATTGATTGTATGGTCCTTTATTTTGCTGGTAAGTCACCTTTGACACCTAAGAGAAGTGTCACTCTGTAAACTCCTAGCCCCATGTTGATCTGGTCATGAAATAAATGTGAGGTTGCCTTCCTCATATGAAAAATTTCTGCTGGGCGTGGTGGCTCACGCCTGTAATCCCAGCACTTTGGGAGGCCCGAGGCAGGCGGATCACGAGGTCAGGAGATCAAGACCATCCTGGCTAACACGGTGAAACCCCGTCTCTACTAAAAGTACAAAAAATTAGCCGGACATGGTGGTGGGCGCCTGTAATCCCAGCTACTTGGGAGGCTGAGGCAGGAGAATGACGTGAACCCAGGAGGTGGAGGTTGCAGTGAGCCAAGATCGCGCCACTGCACTCCAGCCTGGGCAGCTGAGCGAGACTACGTCTCAAAAAAAAAAAAAAAGAAAGAAAGAAAGAAAGAAAAGAAAAATTTCTGATATAAGTGCAAATCAAACCACAATGAGATACCACTTTATACCCATGAGATTAGCTATTACCAAAACACCTAGAAAATAACAAGTGTCGGCAAGGGTGTGGAGAAATTGGAATCCTCATGCATTGTTGGTAGGGATGTGAAATGGTATATCTACTGTGGAAAAGAGCGTGGTAGTTCTTCAAAAATTCAAAATGGAATTACCACGTAATCTAGCAATTCCACTCTAGGTATATACTCCAAAGAATTGGGCCAGGTGCGGTGGCACAGACCTGTAATTCCGGCACTTTGGGAGGCCGAGACGGGTGGCTTGCTTGAGCTCAGGAGTTTTAGACCAACCTAGGCAACATGGTGAAACCCCATCTCTACAAAAAAAATACAAAAGTTAGCTGCCGGCATGGTGGTGCATGCCTGTAGTCCCAGCTACTTGGGAGCCTGAGGTGGGAGGATTGCTTGAGCCCAGGGAAGTCAAGGCTACAGTGAGCAACCATTGCGGCCATTGCCTTCCAGCCTGGGTGACAGAGCAGGACCCTGTCTTTACAAACAAAAAAAAATTGGAAGCAGGGACTCTAACAGGCTTACACACCCATGTTCATAGCAGTGTATTCACCATAGCAAAATGGTAGAAGAAACTCACATGTCGATTGACAGGTAAATGAATATATATAATGCAGCATATACATTCAATGGAGTGTTAGCCTTAAAAAGGAAAGCAATCCTGACATGCTACAACACGGATGAATCTTGAAGATGGTATGCCAAGAGGAAATATATCAGTCACAAAAGGACAAATACTGTACAATTCCACTCATGAGGTCCCTAGAATAGTCAAATTCATAGAGACAGAAAGCAAAATGATGGTTACTAAAAGGGCTAGGGGAAAGGTGTGTTGGGGACTTTGTAGTTAACGGGTAGGGAGTTTCAGTTTGGGAAGATAAAAACTGTTGTGGAGACGGGCCGGGTGTGGTGGCTCACGCCTGTGATCCCAGCACTTTGGGATTACGCCAAGGCGGGTGGATCACTTGAGGCCAGGAGTTTGAGACCAGCCTGGCTAACACAGGGAAACCCTGTCTCTACTAAAGATTAGCTGGGCGTCGTAGTACATCTCTCTAATCCCAGCTTCTCGGGTCAATGAGGCTCAAGAATCAACTGAATCTGGAAGGCAGAAGTTGCAGTGAGCTGAGATGGCGCCTCTGTCCTCCAGCCTGGGCAACAGAGTGAAACCATCTCAAAAAAAAAAAAAAAAAAAAAAAAAAGTCACTTCAGCATCAAATCCTCTCCCCTGCCATACCTCTCCCAAAAAGGAGACCAGTAAAGTGAAGTTTTAAGCCAGAGGCAGCCAGACAAGCTCCCAAGGAATTAGAATAGCTTCCAGGCACCAAGATGTCACTACTCAAAGATGACCCGATACAGCAGGGATAGGCGAGACACATTAACTTCAGAGGATGTGGCAGGAGTGAAGACCACCTGCCCAGTCACCTGCCACACGCAACAGCCCAGGCCCCGGCAGGGTGACCCTCTGCAGAGCTGCCCCACCAAGACCCCTGGATACTCCTCCACGCTCCTAAGTCACTTACCTCACCAAAGTGCTTCTCGATGATGTTCAAAGCCGACTGGCCAATTTGACGGTTCTCATGCAGCTGTAAAGCCTCAATTCTATCGATCCCACCAAGTTCTTCTATCAGAAGACACAGGTTTTCCTTCTCAGACCGTTTCTCTGCCGCCTGTGACCAAGTACAAGGGGACATGAGACCCCCGGCAGGAGCCTTTGGGGGATAGGGACTCTGTCAGCCCTCAAGGGAGCTGCCCCGAGTGGAAGCAGACCAAAGGCTACCATTCCAGAATGGATAGTTGCAATTTCACTTTTCCCAAATTGGTTGAAAATTACATGATCTTCCTCCCACTTTAGGTATCCACGATATATAGACATATATCATAAATATAGGGCCGGGCGCAGTGTCTCATGCCTGTAATCCAACACTTTGGGAGGCTGAGGCAGGCAGATCACTTGAGGTCAGGAGTCTGAGACCAGCCTGGCCAACATGGTGAAACCTCGTCTCTACTAAAAATACAAAAATTAGTTGGGCGTGGTGGCAGGTGCCTGTAATTCCAGCTACTCAGGAGGCTGAGGCACAAGAATTGCTTGAACCAGGAGGCAGAGGTTGCAGTGATCTGACATTGCGCCACTGCACTCCAGCCTGGATGACAGCATAAGACTCAGTCTCAAAAAAAAATTAATAAAGAAGATACACAGGGAAGACTCAGAAGGTATCACAATTTTGTTAACATTTTGTGTAGAGACAAGATCTTGCTGCATTACCCAGATTAGTCTCCAACTCCTGGCCTCAAGCAATCTTCCTGCCTTGGCCTCCCAAAGTGCTGGGATTACAGGTATGAGCCACTGCATTTGGCCCAAATATCTTTGTCTCAAAAAAAAAAAAAAAAAAAAAAAAAAAAAAAAAAAGAGTCTCGCTCTATCGCCCAGGCTGGAGTGCAGTGGCGTAATCTTGGCTCACTACTCTCCCCACCTCCCAGGTTCAAGAGATTCTCCTGCCTCAGTTTCCCAAGTTGCTGAAACTACAGGTACATGCCATGCCAGGCTTTTTTGTATTTTTGTAGAGATGGGGTTTCACCATGTTGGCCAGGCTGGTCTTGAACTCCTAACCTCAGGTGGTCCTCTCACCTCAGCCTCCCAAAGTGCTGGGATTACAAGCATGAGCCAATGCACTTGGCCCAAATATCTATTCTTTATCTGTGTCTTTTGCTCAAGTTTCAGGGTATCATGGGGTTGAGTTTCTAATCTAGTCTTGACTCAGATCATTCAAGAAAATTACATTAAAAAGATGCTTAAAGTGGACTTCTAAAAGGAGCTCCTTGGTGTTACTTTGAAGATTTTCAGATGGTTTTGTCACCTATAAAAGAACCTTAGCTAAGCTGGACACAGTGGCCCATTCCTGTAATCCCAGCACTTTGGGAGGCCGAGGTGAGAGGATCACTTGAGCCCAGGACTTTGAGACCAGTGTAGGCAACATAGCAAGACCCTGTCTCTGCTAAAATACAAAAATTAGCTGGGTGTGGTAGCACAAGCCTGTAATCCCATCTACTTGGAAGGCTGAGGTGGGAGGATCACCTGAGCCTAGGAAGTTGAGGCTGCAGTGAGCTGAGATCACAACACTGCATTCTAGCCTGGGTGACAGAGTGAGATCCTGTTTCAAAATATATATATATATTTATATTATTTATATTTTTATTTATTTTTAGAGACAGACTCTTGCTCTGTTGCCCAAGCTGGAGTGCAGTGGCATGATCTTGGCTCACTGCAACCTCCACCACCCAGGTTCAAGTGATTCTCATGCCTCAGCCTCCCGAGTAGCTGGGATTACAGGCATGAGCCACCATGCCTGGCTAATTTTTTTGTAGAGATGGGGTTTCACAATGCTCAGGCTTGTCTTGAAGTCCTGACCTCAGGTGATCTGCACACCTCGGCCTCCCAAAGTGCTGGATTACAGGTGTAAGCCACCATGCCCAGCCAAAAAACAGTAATTTTTTAAAAGGACCCTAACCAAATGAACCTAGCTAGCCTCCAAAACTGCCCTGATGATCCCTGACCCCCGGTGCTCAAACCCTGTGTAGTTCCCCACCCACATTGAATGGGGATGACCTGTGTAACCAATAGGATGTTGTGGAAGTGACAGAATGTGACCTCCAAGGTCACGTCATGAAGGACACTGAGGCCTTCACCTTGCTTTTAGACCCCTTACTCATAGGAAGCCAGCTGCCGTGATGTGAGGACACTCAGGCAGCCCAATGGAGAAGGTCCATGTGTCCAAGTGACTTCCCGGTCATCGTGTAAGCCTCCTCAGAAGCCAATCCTCTTGGCTAGGCATGGTGGCTCACACCTGTAATCCTAGCACTTTGGGAGGCTGAGGCGGGAGGATGACTTGAACCCAGGAGTTAGAGAACAGCCTGGGCAATATAGCAAGACCCTGTCTCTACTAAAAATACAAACATTGGCCAGGTGTGGTGGCATCTGGCTGTAGTGCCAGTGATTCAGGTGGCTGAGGTGGGAGGATTGCTTGAGCCCAGGAGATCAAGGCTGCAGTGAGCGAGGATCACAGCACTCCAACCTCGGTGGCAGAGCAGAGATCCTATCTCTGTCTGTCTCTCTCTCTCTGTGTCTCTATCTCTCTGTCTCCGTCTGTCTCCGTCTGTCTCTGTCTCTGTCCATCTGTCTCTGTCCATCTCTCCGTCTCTCCGTCTCTGTCTCTCTCCCCATCTCTCTCTCCCCGTCTCTCTCTCCGTCTCTGTCTCTCTCTCCCCATCTGTGTGTGTGTCTCTCTCCCCGTCTGTGTCTCTGTCTGTGTCTCTCTCTCTCTCCGTCTGTGTCTCTCTCTCTCCCCGTGTCTCTCTCTCTCTCCCCGTCTGTGTCTCTCTCTCTCTCCCCGTCTGTGTCTCTCTCTCTCTCCCCGTCTGTGTCTCTCTCTCTCCCCGTCTGTCTCTCTCTCTCTCCCCGTCTGTGTCTCTCTCTCTCTCCCCGTCTGTGTCTCTCTCTCTCCCCATCTCTCTCTCCCCGTCTGTGTCTCTCTCTCTCTCCCCGTCTGTGTCTCTCTCTCTCCCCATCTCTCTCTCTCCCCGTCTGTGTCTCTCTCTCCCCGTCTGTCTCTCTCTCTCTGTGTGTGTGTCTCTCTGTGTGTGTCTCTCTCTCTCTCTCCGTCTGTGTCTCTCTCTCCATCTGTGTCTCTCTCTCTCTCTCCGTCTGTGTCTCTCTCTCCGTCTGTGTCTCTCTCTCCGTCTGTGTCTCTCTCTCCGTCTGTGTCTCTCTCTCCGTCTGTGTCTCTCTCTCCGTCTGTGTCTCTCTCTCCGTCTGTGTCTCTCTCTCCGTCTGTCTTTCTCTGTCTCTGTCTCTATAAAGACAGCTACAGCCACTCCCCACCCTGAACTATTAGTGACTGCCCCTTTATCCGATTTACTTTATCCATAACTCCCTACCTGATGTGTCTGTTCTCTGTCACTCCCCTCATACATAATGTCCATTACAGCAGGGACTTTGCATTGTCATAGTCTGAGCATCTGAAAAAATATCTGGCACATAGACATTTGTTTGAGAAAACGAAGACCATGGTCCTTCGAGATGGCTCTTTTTGTGTTTATCCACAGGACACATGGACAGAGGAGGGTAGAGGTATTGGGGGAAGAGAAATAATCCAACTTGGGTTTTGTTTTGAGACGGAGTCTGGCTCTGTCGCCCAGGCTGGAGTGCAGTGGCACTATCTTGGCTCACTGCAACCTCTGCCTCCTGGGTTTCAAGCGATTCTCCCACCTCAGCCTCCCAAGTAGCTGGGATACAGGCATGCACTACCTTTCCCGGCTAATTTGACGGGGTTTCACTATGTTGGCCAGGCTGGCCTCAAATTCCTGACCTCAGGTGATCCACCTGTCTCAGCCTCCCAAAGTACAACTTGAATTTTAAGAGCCACATTAAATGCTTGTATCCAGTTGGAGACAGCTATTTACAAACCAACCTGTTCAGAACGGCTCACCTGGAGGATGCAAGAGATGACATCAAGGATGATGAGAACAATTTTAACATCTGGGGCAGTGAGCAGATTCACCAGTGGCTCCAGGACCCCAGAGTGGACGAGCTGGATCAGCTGATCCATGGTGGCCCCTGTTGCAAAGTTCGCCACCATCCAGACAGCCTCTTTCTGGACTTTAAATTCTCCCTGCAGAACAAGAATGTTTCCATTCTCTACAGATCCTCAAGAACCTAAATAGAGGACACCAACTTGGTTCACTTTCTAGGGAGGCTGGTGACAGCCAGGACTGCATGTACAATTTACATAGAATGCCTTGGCTACCTGCCTCTAGCTCTTTCTTTCCCCCCTCACTCTGTCGCCCAGGCTGGAGTGCAGTGGCGCAATCTCAGCTCACTGCAATCTCCGCCTCCCAGGTTCAAGCGATTCTCCTGCCTCAGCCTCCTGAGTAGCTGGGACTACAGGTGTGTGCCACCACGCCCAGCTAATTTTTTATATTTTTAGTAGAGACAGGTTTCACCATGTTGGCCAGGATGTTCTCGATCTCTTGACCTCATGATGCGCCTGTCTCGCTCAGCCTCCCAAAGTTCTGGGATTACAGGCACTCACCACCATACCCAGCTAATTTTCGTATTTTTAGTACAGACAGGGTTTCACCATGTTGGCCAGGCTGGTCTCAAACTCCTGACCTCAAGTGATCCTCCCATCTCGGCCTCCCAAAGTGTTGGGATTATAGGCATGAACCCCCTGCCCGGCTCCTGCCTCTAGTTCTTGATCAGAAGATGGCATCTTTGGAAAGCCAAGAAGGCAGGAGACTCAGGTGGGGTCTTAGAGGGAAGCTCTAAGATCAGATAGGCTCATTTGCCCACATCAGGCCACAGGGAAAAAATGAAACGGACATTAACCAATTCAGGTAATCTACACAGACTAGGAGTTATGCTTGGGGTTTTAGATGACAGTGGCCTATGTCTGCATTTCTAGTCTTTCTGATCTAGTAAAGCTTTGGCCAAGAAGCTGTAAGCCTGGGTACACAGATACAACCTAAGGGACCAAGCCAGCCCAGAGGTGACAGAGAAAGACCATTGAAATATCGTTCAGGTCGGGCACGGTGGCTCACACCTGCAATCCCAGCACTTTGGGAGGCTGAGGCAGGCAGATTGCCTGAGCTCAGGTGTTAGAGACTAGCCTGGGCAACATGGTGAAACCCTGTCTCTATTAAAATACAAAAAATTAGCCGGGTGTGGAGGCGTGTGCCTGTAATCCCAGTTAGGAGGCTGAGGAAGGAGAATCACTTGAACTCAGGAGGCAGAGGTTGCAGTGAGCCAAAATTGTCCCACTGCACTCCAGTCTGGGTGACAGAGCGAGACTCCATCTCCAATAATAATAATAATTGCTCAATAAACCTTTGCATTTATAAAATGCACTTGGCCAGAGATACAGGAGGAATTTATCTTCTATTCTTCTATTCCTGGGTAGGATTTATTCCCATTTTATGGTTGGGGAAAACTGACCTCAGCATAAAAAACAAAACAAAACAAATAACTTATGGCTCCAAGCAAGTTATAGTTCAAAAGATACCACTTGAAATATAAATGTCCTTTGATTCATAACTAGATGTTTCTCACTAGAATATGTACAGATTTACAGAGGCGTGCAGGACCACAAGTACTGAACAGATTGGAAGATGCTATAATTTGGGCAACACACCTGGTCTTTCTCTCTTGCCTAGCTTGTCATACCTGGTGCATCCTGGGAACTCACTACCCAGCCTGAGAACAGGAACACCGCCAGTAGCTTCTCCTCAACCCCATGAGACTCCACCTGCCTCCCCACCCCCAGCCCAAGGTAACCACTCCTGACTATAGATGGTTTAAACATAGCTAATTCCTTTAAAGGTGGCAAAAAGAAAAATGCCAAGGATAGTCATTGCTCCTGCAAAAGGGGAGTACAAATCAGGAGAAATAATGTTTTTTTGTTTTTGTTTTTTTGCGACAGTTTTACTCTTGCTGCCCAGGCTGGAGTATAGTGGCATGATCGTGGCTCACTGCAACCTCCACCCTCCCAGGTTCAAGTGATTCTCCTGTCTTAGGCCTCCCAAGTAGCTGGGATTACAGGCACCCACCACCACACCTGGCTAATTTTTTGTGTTTTTAGTAGAGATGGGGTTTCACCATGTTGGCCAGGCTGGTATCGAACCCCTGATCTCAGGTGATCCACTTGCCTTGGCCTCCCAAAGTGCTGGGATTACGGACATAAGCCACTGTGCCTGCCCACAACCTTTTTTTTTTTTTTTTTTGAGACAGGGTCTCACTGTGTCACAGAGGCTACAGTGCAGTGGTGTGATCTTAGCTCACAGCAGCCTTGACCTCCCGGGCTCAATTGATCCTCCTACCTTAGCCTCCCAAGATGCTGGGACTACAGGCATATGCCACCAAGCCTGGCTAATTTTTGTATACGTATATTTTTTGTAGAGAAAGAGTTTCGCCACATTGCCCAGGCTGGTCTCAAACGCCTGAACTCAATCTATCCACCTGACTGGGCCTCCCAAAACGTCGGAATTACAGTCGTGAGCCACTGCACTCAGCCTGCTTTGTTGTTTTTCTATGTTTAGATTTGAATTTTGTTGACATTACCACTTTAATCAATTTAACTTTGCTTTCCTTCAGTGTATGATATCACCATAGCATGATATGTTTTTCCTCCTAAAAATAAAAGCTCCACCCTCTTTTGGTAGGGAGAGAATAGATGGCACATTCTTTCACCACCGCTTAGACATAAGCCAATATTTACTAGCTCAAGAGCTTTCTGGATGTTTGAGCCATGGGGTCACCTTGTCATTGAATAATGCTTGTTCCGTCTTCCAAATCTTTAATGGGTTCTTCAGAATGGAACGCCCCCTTCCTTTTTTTCAGGCAAAGCTAGGACTCTGAGGTTTCAGAGCTCTGCTGTGATCTCAATTTGCTTCTGCACCTGTGTCTGGATTCCTGAAGGAGTTCAACCCAGGGCTATTGGAAAGTAGTCCTTTGCCATGGTTGCTGTGTGCGCCACTTACGTTTTTTAGCAGAGCCACCAAGGGAGGCAAGACGTCGTAGGCAAGCAGCTGCTGGATGTGGTGACAAGGCCCCGCTGCTACGTTGCTCAGGGCCCAGGCTGCCTCCTTCTGGATGGAGGGCTTGTTGTGTTGCAGGAGCTGGGGGAGCACGTTCAGCATACCCGCATCAATGGCCATCTGCGTCTGCTCATCTGTGCCCGTGACAATGTTCCCCACGGTGCGGAGAGAAGGAGTCTGGAAGAGCAAGGCTAGAAGTCTAAGTATTTCAAGTCTATCCCAGGAGAAGGCAACAATCACACCAAGTTCTGTTCTCTCCCAAACATTGTCATGCTATAGCCGATGGTTGTCTGACAGCCTGTGAACAGGAATTGTATCTGTGATCATTATTCAATTCATCCATGGCCTTTTAATTTATTTTTTATTTATTTATTTATAAAGAGACAGGGTCTTTACTGTTACCCAGGCTGGAATGCAGTGGCATGATCATAGCTCACTGCAGCCTTCAACTCTTGGGCTCAAGTGATCCTCCTCCCCCAGCCTCCCAAGTATCTGGGACTATACGGATGTGCCACCATGCCCGGCTAATTTTTAAGTTTTTTGTAGAGACGGGGGTCTTGCTATGTTGTCCAGGCTGGTCTCAAGTGATCCTGCCTTGGCTTTCCAAAGTGCTGGGATTACAATCATGAGCCACTGTGCCTGGCCCATGGATGTTTAAAGGTGACTTAAAGGAACTTTCTGGCTTCCCACTTGTTTGGCTCAAGTGGGACAGAAATACCCAAGAAATACCTTTATCGAGAAATGCTGTTGGACTTTTCATATGCTTTCAGTTTCATCATCAAATGCTAAATTGACGATAGTGTTTTGTTTGTTTGTTTGTTTTTTGAGACAAGGTCTTGCTGTCACCCAGACTGGAGTATAGTGGTACGATTTTGGTTGTCACTGCAACCTCTGCCTCCTGGGTTCAAGCAATTCTCCTGCCTCAGCCTCCTGAGAAGCTGGGATTACAGGTGTGCACCACCATGCCTGGCTAATTTTTGTATCTTTTGTAGAGACAAGGTTTCACCATGTTGCCCAGGCTTGTCTTGAACTCCTGACCTCAAGTGATCTGCCTACCTCGGCCTCCCAAAGTGCTGGGATTATAGGCATGAGCTACTGCGCCCAGTGACTATACTCTTTATCGTATAATGACTGAATTAGTATTTATCAGTGTCAAGCGTGTTGCATATTTAATTGGAGATAATGAGATCTCAATGCCATTTCCTGGTGTGATTGGGAAGCCCTTCATAATGGCTCAGAAGATCCCCAGGACAGGTCTACGATTGGGCTCAAAACAACAACTCTCCTACAATAGCTGACTATGGCTTTATTCAGATTTCTCTGTACTGTAGTGGCAGCCCCAGTAAAGCCCAGCAACAGTTCTAGAATTTTCCTAGCCTATTAGGCTACTTACCTGATACCAAAGTGAGAGGTAGAAGTGTACTTCAGGCCAGTCATGGCCTTACCAGGGCAGCTCCAAATAGGCCCCAGAACCCGGGGGTAAGCAACTTCTTAGAGAATTTACTTCTCCACTTTGGGAGGCCGAGGCGGATGGATCACTTGAGTCCAGGAGTTTGAGACCAGCCTGGCCAACATGGGGAAACACCGTCTCTACTAAAAATACAAAAATTAGCTGGGTGTGGTGGTGCACACCTGTAGTCCCAGCTACTTGGGAGGCTGAGGCAGGAAAATTTCTTGAACCCAGGAGACAGAGGTTGCAGGGAGCCAAGATTGTATCACCACACTCCGGCCTTGGCAACAGAGTGAGACTTTGTCAAAAAACAACAACAACAACAACAAAAATGGCTTGTCTTATCTCATACTCTCCATGCCCCTAGCACTATCCCGAAACCAACTCAACATCTGAGAAGTCCTATGCTAATCTCAAAATAGATGATCACTAAGGCTGCAGAATATGCAATATTAGGTAAAATATTAAGAAAATAAAGAGCAGGCAGCATAGAGACATCTTCAATATAATGCACCCACATTTCAAAGCAGTATATGATGTAGGTGACATGTTTAATAACATAGCAAAGCGGCAGGGCATAGTGGCTCATGCCTGTAACCCCAGCACTTTGGGAGGCTGAGGTGGGCAGATCACCTGAGGTCAAGAGTTCAGGACCAGCCTGGCCAACCTGGTGAAACCCTGTCTCTACTAAAAATACAAAAATTAGCTGGGCGTGATGGTAGTGGGTGCCTGTGATCCCAGCTACTCAGGAGGCTGAGGCAAGAGAATTGCTTGAAGTCGGGAGGTGGAGGTTGCAGTGAGCCAAGATTGTACCACTGCACTCCAGCCTGGATGACAGAGAGACTCCGTCTCACACACAAAAAAAATAATAACCTAGAAAAGCAATTAGTAATGGTTTTACTTGCTTTCTGCCTATATCTGAGCTAGTCTAAGAGAACAAACTGGGGAGAGGATAATGGGTTGTTTTTTTTTTTAATCCCCAGTCTCACTGTCACTCTGGCTGGAGTACAGTGTGCCATCACAGCTCACTGCATCCTCAAACTTCTGGGCTCAATAAATTCTCCCAACTCTGCCTCCCCAGTAGCTGAGACTACAGGTATGCACCACCACACCCAGCTAATTTTTTTTTTTTTTTTTTGAGATGGAATGTCACTGTCACCCAGGCTGGAGAGCAGTGGCACGATCTCAGCTCACTGCAACCTCCACCTCCTGGGTTCAAGGAATTCTCCTGCCTCAGCCTCCCGAGTAGCTGGAATTACAGCTGTGCGCCATCACACTCAGTTAATTCTTTGGTGTTTTACAAATAAATTTTTGTATTTTTGTATTTTTACAGCTGTGAGCCACCGTGCCCGGCCTTTTTTTTTAAAAAAAAAAAAAAAAAAAAAAAAAAAAAAAAAAAACCCACTAGGATTTGACATCAAAATAGATTCAAGCTTTTGGCCACAGAGTAGCAAAGATGGGCAGGCACAGTGGCTCACACCTCTAATCCCAGTCGTTTGGGAGGCCGAGGCAGGAGGATCACCTGAGGTCAGGAGTTCGAGACTAGCCTGGCCAACATGGTAAAACCCTGTCCCTACTAAAAATACAAAATGAGCCGGGCGTGGTCGTTGGCATCTATAATCCCAGCTACCCAGGAGGCTGAGATAGGAGAATCGCTTGAACCTGGGAGGCAGAGGTTGCAATGAGCTGAGATTGTGCCACTGCATTCCAGCCTGGGTGACAGAGCAAGACTCTGTCTCAAAAAAAAAAAAAAAAAAAAAAAAGCAAAGACCAGGGAAATGCAGATGACAAACCTTGCCCCAGAACCTGCTAAAGTGACTATGACCCGAGGACTCGAATCCACAGGGCCCAGGATTGCATTTACCAAGACATTGAGTTCTGAGCTGGTCATGAGCACTACCAGCCTGGGCAGGACCCCCGTGTTAACCACTTGGCCGATGCGCTTGTTGGAGCCGTCGGTGAGGTAGGACAGTGCCCAGCAGGCATCCGAGAGAACCTCACTGTCCTGGTGCTGCAGGAGGTGAAGGAGGGCCGGCAGTATCTGCTTCACCGCAGTGTCGCAAGGGTATGGGTTCTTGTTTCGGCACAGATTCGACAAGGTCCACGTGATGTTCCGCAGAAATGTGATCTGTAACAAGGAGACTGCCTCCAGCATTGGGTGCAAAGGAGAGAAAATGCAAACAGCAGTGTGTTCTTACCATTTCCAATCAATACCATAGATCAGCATGAACCAGAGCTTTTTAAAATTTTATTTATTATTTTCAGACAGCCTTGCTCTGTCACCCAGGCTGGAGTGCAGTGATGCAATCTTGGCTCACTGCAACCTCTGCCTCCTGGATTCAAGTGATTCTCCTCCCTCAGCCTCCTGAGTAGCTGGGATTACAGGTGCCCGCCACCACACACGCCCAGCTAATTTTTGTATTTTTAGTAGAGATGGGGTTTCACCATGTTGCCCAGACTGGTCTTGAACTCCTGGCCTCAAGTGATCTGCCGGCCTCAGCCTCCCAACGTGCTGGGATTACAGGGGTGAGCCATTGTGCCCGACTGAACGAGAGCTTTTGAACTTCAAATAGAAATGTGTTCTAGGCAGTGATGTGTATTAGGGACACAGAACGAGGTTCGTATTTCACATTCCAATGTTAGATGGAGGTTTCCTTTGTCTTTCAAAATGTCCTTTCCCATTTGATTGATGACCTAATTTCATTTTTCACTGACAACAAGATCAAGCAGGAGTTACTTGGTCTTCCCACTGGTCTAAAACACTACTGGCATGTCATCCCCAGATTTCTAATCTTCTAATTGAGAATCAGTCTTCCTACTCTGCCTCTGGATCCCATCCCTTTTGGCCTTTTATTATTAGTTTTAGTTTTAGTAGAGACAGGGGTCTTGCTATGTTGCCCAGTCTGGACTTCAACTCCTGGGCTCAAGTGATCTGCCTACCTCCACCTCCCAAAGTGATGACAGGCCTGAGTCACCACACCTGGCCCTTACTTTTTGCCTTTAAAGATTCCGCCCAGAATCATCCCTGCCCCCAAATCACTCCCACCAGTAAGGAAACATACCCTGGGACTGTCAGCCCCTCCCCTTCTGCCCCTTTCAGCCATCATCACACTTCTGTCTTTCAGAGTCTACCCTCAGAGAGGCATCTATATTCACTGTCTACCTCCCAGATTCCCAATTGTTGGGGTTTTTTGTTTGTTTGTTGAGACAGGGTCTCACTCTGTTGCCCAGGCTGCAGTGCAGTGCCGTGATCATAGCTCACTACAGCCTCAACCTCCCAGGCCCAAGTGATCCTCCTACTTCTGCCTCCTGAGTAGCTGTGGCTAGACATGCTTTTTGTAGAGGAAAGTCTTGCTATGTTGCCCAGGCTGGTCTCAAACTCCTGGGCTCAAGGGATCCTCCTGCCTCGGCCTCCCAAAATGCTGGGATTACAGACATAAGCGCCTGGCCTCCAGTTGTTCTTCAGGCCATTCTAGTCATGTTTCTAACCCTTCTTTGGGGTTAGGGATGGGAATCAGCTCCTTCCAAGTCACCAAACACAGCAGCTGCTTCTTGGTCCTAAAGTTACTGTCCCTCTCAGCTGTGGTTAGTAGTCAGCCCTTTCTTTTTGAAGGAGCTCTCGGCTGGGCGTGGTGGCTCACACCTGTAACCCCAACACTTTGGGAGGCCGAGGCAGGTGGATCATGAGGTCAGGGGTTCAAGACCAGCCTGGCCAAGATGGTGAAACCCCGTCTCTACTAAAAACACAAAAATTAGCCAGGCGGGGTGGCATGTGCCTGTAATCCCAGCTACTCGGGAGGCTGAAGCAGAAGAATCGCTTGAACCCAGGAGGCGGAGGTTGCAGTGAGCTGAGATTGCACCACTGCACTCCAGCCTGGTGACAGAGCAAGACTCTGTCTCAAAAAAAAAAAAAAGCAGAAAAAAAAGCAGAAAAAAAAGAAAGAGCTCTTCTTGGCAACTGTGACACCAAACCTGGTTTTCTATGGCCAAATTAGCTGTTTCTACTTAGTCTTTTTGGCAGGCTCTGCCTGAATTTAGAACCTTAGAGCCCACAGGACTGGGTCTCAGGCTCTCCTCACACTCTAGGTCAGGGGTTGAAAACTTTTTCGGTAAAGGGCCAGATCTTAAACATTTTTAGCCTGTGGCTTCTGTGGCAACAACAACTGTCCTTGTAGACCAGACAGTATGTAAATGAGTGTGGCTGCATGCCAGTAAAACTTTTTTTTTTTTTTTGGGGGGAGACAGGGTCTCACTCCATCACCCAGGCTGGAGTGCAGTGGTGCAATCACAGCTCACTGCAGCCTCAAACTCAAGCGATCCTCTCGCCTTGCCTTCCCAAGTAGCTGGGACTACAGACACGTGCCACCATGCCCAGCTTGATAAAACTATTTACAAAGCAAGCGGCCAGCCAGGTCATGTTTGTGACCCCTGGCCCCAGCTGACCTTGCCTGGCTGGGTGACATATACACATATGTCACCTAGCAAGGTACATCTGTCAATCCGACTCTGCTGCAATGGTGTCTCCAACTCGCCTCAACTTCATGCCTGCAACACAAGCTCCAATTTCTTTTTTTCCTGCACTTTTCCCCTTTCTCTAGGAAGACAATCATCTGAACAATCTAACCTGAAACCTAGGGGCATCCTGGCTTCTTGCTGTCTCCCTTTCACGTCTAGAATGGCTATGTCCCAGACCCACCTGCTTCACCATCTCCCTCTGCTATACAATTTTTTTTTTTTTTTTGAGATGGAGTCTTGCTCTGTCACCAGGCTGGAGTACAGTGGCACAATCTCGGCTCACTGCAACCTCCACCTCCCAGGTTCAAGAGATTCTCCTGCCTCAGCCTCCTGAGTAGCTGGGAGTACAGGTGCGTGCCACCACACCCAGCTAATTTTTGTAATTTTAGGAGACGGGGTTTCACCGTGTTGGCCAGGATGGTCTTGATCTCTTGACCTCGTGATCTGCCCACCTCGGCCTCCCAAAGTGCTACCGCATCCGGCCTCTCTCTGCTATATAATTCTACGGCAGGCAACCAGAAGGGCCTTTCTGAAAGATCAGACCACTCTACTCCCTTGCCTCAAAATCCTCCAAAGCCTCCCTGCTGCTAGCAGGAAGATGTCTAAGCCCTTTTCCTGCTTGCCATCTTAAGTGTTCTCTACTTAAACTCTCTCGGTCATGGCTAGTCTTTTATTGGTTCAACCATGTCAGATTTTTCTCCCATCTTGAAGAGTTTTGAGACAGAGTCTTGCTCTGTTGCCCAGGCTGGGGCACAGTGGCGCAACCTTGGCTCACTGCAACCTTCGCCTCCCAGGTTCAATCAATTCTCCTGCCTCAGCCTCCCAAGTAGCTGGGACTACAGGAACGTGCCACCATGCCTGGCTAGTTTCTGTATTTTTAGTAGAGATAGGATTTCGCCATATTAGTCAGGCTGGTCTCAAACTCCTGACCTCAGGTGATCCACCCGCCTCAGCTTCCCAAATTGTTGGGATTACAGGTGTGAGCCACGGTTCCCAGATGAAGGTTTTGAACATAGTCCTCTGGCTGCTCTTCATTTTTGTTTGAGGCAAATCGAGAACCCAGTTCCTAAACCAGAAGTCCTCTTCAATCAATAACCACAAATCAACCAACCTTGACTCTAAGCCTCAAAAGAAGAGCCTGTTCCCCATGAACAGAACTGGTGAGACATTAACCCATTTATGCCAGAGGTTGCAAATTTTTTTGTGTGAAAAATCAGACCTTGGTAATGACCATGAGCAGTAGGATATAAATAACTCCCACAGGCTTAGTGTTCCAATAATGGAACACCAGGCATATATGCTAAACTGTGACCCTAGAATGGAGATTTCAGTCATCTATTTTGCAAGATGGCAAGCTTGTAGGCCTCTTCCAATGCCGCAAAGAGAAGGATCAGTGCTACTGGCCCCTAAAGACAGAGCTGAGTCAATCTTTACCTAAAATGATACTCAGTCCTAAGCCTTGCTATTATTAGTTTATTTAGAGACAGAGTCTCAACCTGTCACCCAGGCTGGAGTGCAGTGGTGTGATCTTGGCTCTCTGCAGCCTCCCTCTCCTGGGCTCAAGCAATCCTTCCACCTCAGCCTCCTGAGTAGCTGAGACTACAGGTGTACGCTACCATGCTCAGCTAATTTTTTTATTTTTAGAAGCATGGTCTCACTATGTTGCCCAGGCTGGTTTTGAACTCTTGGTGTCAAGTGATCCTTCTGTCTTGGCCTAGCAAGCACTGGAATCACAGACATGAGCCACCATGCCCAGTCTTGAGCCTTGTTTATGAGGTTCTAAGAGGCCAGGCAGCAGCCACATGATCTAGCATTGGATTTGGAAGTATGTCCCAATTTCCCAACATTAGAATTTGTTACCTAACGAGGTTCTCTCTCATTTAAAGACATCCACTTGGCCTGGTACTGTGGCTCACGTCCATAATCCCAGAACTTTGAGAGGTAGGAGGATTGCTTGAAGCCAGGAGTTCAAGACCAGCCTGGGCAGAATGGTGAGGCTCCATCTCTATTAAGATTATTTTAAAATTTTAATTTAAAAAAAAAAAAAGAGAAAGAAAAAGACACTTACCGGCAGGGTGGGTGAAATCAAGGCTAGGAGATGTGGGATGGCATTGCTTGTGATGACGTTATCTCTGAACTCTGGGCCATCACCTACAAATAGAGCAGAATGTGACATTTAGAGAGAGAACAAAGACAATCCTGAAGTGGGTGACTAATTTTTTAAGAGTGTGCAAAGGGCAAGAGACAAAAACTCATTCCCGGGTTTAGCAAGTAGGTAGTAGAGCCACGTACTAAATTCTGGAAGTCTGGCATGGCTGGTGGGTGGACAGTCCTGATGTAACAGGCAGGCATCACACAGCAGCAACTGCTAGAAGCAGAGCCAGCCAACTCAGCCAAGGTGGGCTGTTGGCATCTCACAGCATGGTTCTCAGGAAGACGAAGGCTGGTCCAGACCAAGTTGTCTTCCCAGAAGACCTTGGCACAGGGCAGTAACTTCCAATGCAACTCAGAACAAAGTCTGGGGATCTGCAGGTGCTGGTGACCAGCCATCAGCTACCTTAGCTAGGATAACAATTTTAGACCCTAGAAGTCTATTTGTATTTGTCAACCATCAAAGGCAAGTCATCACATTGTACCATCCAGTCTTGCCTACTTTACTGCACCAAGCAAAATGAGAGACAACTTCTCTAATAGGCACTTTTTCCTCCTGCAGCCTTTTATTTTTTTTTTTTGGCGGGGGAGGGGGATACAGGATCTCACTCTATTGCCCTGGCTGGAGTGCAGTGGTGCAATCATAGCTCACTGCAGCCTCGACCTCCAGAACTCAAGCAATTGTCCCACCGTAGCCTCCTGAGTAGCTGGGACTATAGGCATACACCACTATGCCTGGTGAATATTTTTATTTTTTGTAGAGATAAGTTCTCACTACATTGCCCAGGCTGGTCTCAAACTCCTGGGCTCAAGCCATCCTCCCACCTCTGCCTCCTAAAGTGCTGAGATTAAAGGCATGAGTCACTACGCCAAGCCTCTGCAAGCTTTTGTTTTCTTTTAGCAGTTATTTTATATTCTGTTTGCTAATTCCAATATGTGGAGTCCTTGGAGGTCTAATCATACTGTTTCTGCTGACTCAGTCACGGGAGTTATTGCTTCTCTGAACTTGAAAATGCTAATAGTCGGCTGATCTTAATTTGTCAAAATCCTGAGGGACCTAATTGAGTTTTCCCTAGAAAGTCACTGGATTGATGTCAGCCAAGAATCTGGGGGCTTCCGACCCTACAGCACTAATTCACTAGACCATGCAGGAAAGAGCATCGATTGCCACATTCAGAAAGGTAGTCTGAGGATTCCACTTTCAGGGAAGGCTTGTTAGCCCAAACCAAGGAGTTTTTTTTTGTTGTTGTTGTTTTGTTTTTGTTTTTGGCACGTTCCCTTAGCAACTTCCACTGAAGGCAGAGTCCTTCTGGGGTCCCGAGTTATGTAAGGGTCTATCATAAACTCCCACACTGCATAAGCCAAAGACTTGTTCTTGAAGCCACGAAGCCCTGAGGCTGTAGGACCTTAGTGTTGGCAGATGTCTCTAGTTAGCCTGTGGCTTCAGTATACACTGTATCATCCTGTTTCAGCTTCAATATTTGGCCTCTAAACTTGGATTTGAGGGCTTTTGGTGTTTTGAGACAGAATCTCCCTCTGTTGCCCACACTGGAGTACAGTGGCGTTATCTTGGTTCACTGCAACTTCCTCCTCCCAGGTTCAAGCGATTCTCCTGCCTCAGCCTCCCGAGTAGCTGGGACTACAGGGCATGCACCACCATGCCTGGCTAATTTTTGTATATTTAGTAGAGACGGGGTTTCACCATGTTGGCCAGGCTGGTCTTGAACTCCTGACCTCAAGTGATCCGTCCGCCTTGGCCTCCCAACATGCTGGGATTACAGACGTGAGCCACCGTGCCTGGCCTGGCTTTGAGTTTGGAAACAGCTCATTGTACCCTTGCCAGCACTTCTAGGTATTTACATGGCAAAGTGTTCTGGGACATCGAGTATACCCCACCACCCAAAGAAACCTTATAGTATCCCACACACCTGGCCCCGTTTTCTTAGCCCACTAAGGGGAGAGTCTCACCGGCTATATTACCAAGAGCCCACACTGCCTGTTCACACACAGCCACGTTGGAGGAAGACAGGAGCTCAATCAAGGGCTGGATGGCTCCCCCTTCTACCACGGCACGAGTCTGCTCCGAAGTCCCTGAAGCGATGTTGGTCAGGGCCCAGGCAGCCTCAAACTGCAAGCAGGGGTAAAGTGATGACTTCAGGAACTCCACCATCCTGGGAATGAGGCCCGCTTCAATGACCAGTTTCAGAGGGGGGTTCTTTTCCTGGGATAGCATTTTCCTATGCAATGAAAGAGAGGGCAGGGGAGGGGGAGGTCAAGTGAGAGAGGTATTAAGGACCTCCTTTTAGGCCAGGTGCGGTGGCTCACACCTGTAATCTCAGCACTTTGGGAGACCAAGGCGGGCAGATCACTTGAGGTCGCAAGGTCAGGAGTTCGAGACCAGCCTGGCCAACATGGTGAAACCCCGTCCCATCTCTACTAAGAATATAAAAATTAGCTGGGTGTGGTGGTGCACACCTGTAATCTCAGCTTCTCTGGAGGCTTGAGGCAGGAGAATCACTTGAACCCAGTAGGCGGAGGTTGCAGTGAGCTAAGATCATACCATTGCACTCCAGCCTGGGTGACAGAGTGAGACTCCATCTCAAAAGAGAAAAAAAGAACCTCCTTTTATACATAAGCCACATAGCTGGGCCGGAGCTACTTAAGATCCTAGTGTTCAACCGATAGCATTTTTCGGTATTAAATCAACATTTTCCCCTTTAAGGTGTTATCTACAAGATGAAATTTCTGTAGAGGCCAATGTAAATTAAGCAATTCATCTCTGACAACACATCGAAGCTTTTAAATTGCCCTCAAGGACAGTGTAGAATAGCAATTTCGTCTTTTAGATGGGCTAGCCTTTTCCTGTGTTTTACGGGCATGTTGCCAATGCCAAGAAACCAAATAGGCCACCGGCGCTCCAGCCATCACTGACGCTCATTGCTAACTATGAACCTGCAACAGCAGAAGTCTGTTTGGAGATACCTGGCTGTCTGGGTGGCCTGGAAACATAGGACTGGATCTGAGCTATTCACACCTTTGATTATTTCACCCAGAGTGAGGCTGACCTGCAAGAAGAGACACATTCAGGTCAGACTGTCTGCCAAAATGAGCTGTAAACATCACCTACTCTAGCCATCATCCATCTGATTAAAACAGCCTGGCTTGAACAGGATGTCCCATCTTGCATGCTGTTCTATATTTGGGGAGGGGAGAATATAGTCCACAGATCTCACAGATCTGTGTGTTCCTTCCCATGCTTAGGGGAGAAGTAATTCCTATCATTAGTTGGATCCCAAGAACATTTTTATCCCGTGCAGTAAGAATGTGCTAGTGGATACAAAACAAAATGGCAGACTAAGGACATCCAAAAAATTCTCTCCTCCACATAGGCAAAGAGAAAACTGACAAAAATAGAATCAACTTTTTCAGCACTGTAGAAATTGACCAAAGGCTTGCGGCCAATTGTTTTATTCAAGCCAGGAAGTGTTTATCCAAGAAAGACAGCTGAATCTCAGTAAGTAGCATGAGAGCTTTGTGGCATTTTGACTTGCCCTATTCCCACCCACCCTCAGCTCCATGGTAACCCTGAAAACCAACAGTCCACAATCATTGTGAAAAACCAACAGCCTCCCAACCACCAGAAGAGGCAAAATAGGTAGGTCCTCCTTTGGAGCCTCATTCCCAGAAAATTATTATTTGATCTGTCTGGTCATTCCCTGAAAGATCCCACTTACAGACTATTTTGACTCAGAGCTTAGTCAGTATGAAAAGGCTTTTCCCTAAGAATGTTCATTGAAAACAGAGGAAGTTGTTTAACTTCACAGCTACCTGAGAGGTTGAATAAGAGTTGGGATAAACAACAGGCTAACAAAAAAACTTGAAAGGGAATGTCATGTATAGGGCTATGCATATGCTTAAAAACAACAACAACAACAACAACAACAACAACAAAACTAAGACCCTCAGCTCTTCCCTCTCACTGACTTTGAAGCTCTGTGCAAACAGGAAGTGAAGGCTTACGTCAGAATTGTCAACTGCCTGGCTGAGTGGTGAACGCATGCCCCCAACACAGAGCTTCTTGGCAAAAATTGAGTGTTCTTTTCTTCGTGGTTCGAAGTGTTAAAATAAGTCTCTAATTATTAGTTGACCACTGAGCAAACCAAGCAGACACTGCAGCAGCCACACATCACAAAAAAATACAGATTTTAGATAATTAGCTCAAACTACTAAACGAGCACACCCAGCAACAACAGCAAACCCTGGGGCAATGGAAAATCTGATTTCTAGAGTTGTCACACTATTTTAAATGACTAGTTTTCAACAAAGATTGTGAGACAAGCAAAGAAAGTGTGACACACACATATACATATATATGTGAAAAAAGCAATCAATAGCAATAGTCCCTGAGGAGACCAGATGTTGAACTAGACAAAGATTTTAAATATAGTCAAAGAACTAAACCATGACTAAAGAACTAAAGTGCAACAATGCTGTCACACTAAATAGAGAATATCAGTGAACAGATATCAGTTATTGGAAGGAGCCAGATACAAATTCTGGAATTGGAGAATACAATAACTGAAACAAAAATTCACTAAAGGGGCTTAACAGCAGATTTAAGCAGACATAATAAAGCAGCAGTGAAGCTGAAGATAGGTTAATTGGAATTATCCAGTCTGAGGAAGATAACACACACAAGAGAGACTGAAGATGAAAATTGACAGATCTTTAGAGATCTGTGGGACATCATCAAGGATACCAACAAATGCAGAATAGGAAGGAGAAGAGGGAAAGAGGCAGAAAGTATATTTAAAGAGATAATGGCCAAAGAAATTCCCAAATCCAATAGAATAATTAGTCTACACATCTGAAAAGTTCAATGAGCTCCAAACGGAATAAATCCCAAGATCCAGACATATTATAATCTAACTGTTGAAAGCCAAAACTACAGAATCAAAAACATTGAAACCAGCAAAAGAGAAGCAATTCATGTACAAAGCCTCAATAAGATTAACAGCTGATTTCTTATCAGAAAGCATCAAGGCCAAAAAGCTGAGGTGCAGTGAGCCAAGATTGCAGCATTGCACTCCAGCCTGGGTGATAAGAGTAAAACTCCATCTCAAAAAAAACAACAACAAAAAAACTTTACCAACTTTACAAAAAAAAATTCTCACTCATTCTTAGAGGCTAGTATTACTCTGATACCAAACCAAGGATATTACAAGAAAAGTATAAGCTAATATCCCTTATAACTACTGATGCAAAAATTCAACAAAATAGGAGGAAACCAAATGCCTAAACGTATGAAACATATGGTCAACATATTGGTCATCATGATGAATTAGGATTTAACTCAGGAATTCAGGAGTGGTTTAACATGTGAAAAAAAATCAACATAGTACCCCGTATTAATAAAGGGGGGGGAACCCACATGATCATCTCAATGCAGAAAAAACATTTAATGAAATTCAACATACTTCCATAATAAAAAAAAACACTCAACAAACTGGAATAAAAGGAAACTTCTTCATTCTGATAAAGGCATCTACAAAAAACTCAGAGGTAGCCTCATACTTAATGGTGAAAGTCTAAAAGATTTCCCCCAAGATCAGGAATAAGACAAGGATATTGCTCTTTTCACTTTTATCCAACATGGCATTGGAAGTTCTAGATGCATTAATTAGGCAACAAATAAAGTGCACCCAGATTGGAAAGGAAGAAATAAAACTATTTGCAAGTGACTTAATCTTATATGTAGAAAATCCTAAGGAATTTACACCAAAAGCCTAGAGCTAATAAAATTCAGCTAGGTTGCAGAATTGATATACAAAAATTAATTGTATCTTTACATGCTAGCAGTGATCAAAAATCAAAATAAAGCAATTTAATTTACAACATAAAAAGAATAAAATGCTTAGTAATAAATTTATTGAAAGAAATCCAAGAGTTATATGCTGCAAACTGAAAAAAAAAAAAAAAAAAAAAAAGGACTGAAATGAAAAGGTATCCCATGTTCATGGACTGGAAGACTTAACATTGTTAAGATGGCAATACTCCAACCTTATAAATTCAATGACTCCATTCTATAGGTTCAATGCAATCTCCATGAAAATCGGAGCTGCCCTTATTGTAGAAATTGACAATCTGATTTTAAAATTCATATGGAAATACAAAGGGTCCAGAATAGCCAAAATTATATTGAAAAAAAGAACAAAGCTGGAAGACTCACTTCCCAATTTCGAAACTTACCACAAAGCTACAGTAATCAAACCTTTGTTTGATGACAAAGATAAACGTATAGATCAATGGAAGAGAACTGAGAGTCCACAAATGAACCCTCACATTCACGGTCAATTGATTTTTTTGACAAAGGTACCAAGACAATTCAATGGGTAGAAAATAGTCTCAAATAACTGTGCTGGTACAACTATGTATCACATGCAAAAGCACAAAGTTGGACTCCCATTCTCACCATTTACAAAAATTAACTCCAAACGGCTCAAAGGCCTAAAAGTAAGAGCTAAAATTATGAACTCTTAGAAAGAAATATAGGCACAAATCTTTGTGACCTTAGATTAGGCAATGAATTTTTAGATATGATACCTAAAACACAAACAACCAAGAAAATAAACTAGACTTCTTCAAAATTAAAAAATTTTATGCTTCCAAGGATACTATCAAGAAAGTGAAAAGACAACCCACAGAACAGAATATATTTGCAAGTCATATCTGCTAAGGTTTAATATCTAGAATATATAAAGAATTCTTACAACTCAATAAAAAATAATTTATTTGACTTAAAAATGGACAAAGGGCTGGAATTTTTTTTTTGGTGGGGGGACACAGTCTCGCTCTCTTACTCAGGCTGGAGTGCAGTGGCACAATCTCAGCTCACTGCTCAAGCTATTCTCCTGCTTCAGCCTTCCTAATAGCTGGGACTACAGGTGCATGCCACCACACCCAGCTAATTTTTATGTTTTTAGTAGAGACAGGGTTTCACCATGTTGGCCAGGATGGTCTTGAACTCCTGACCTCAAGTGATCCATCCGCCTCAGCCTCCTAATATGCTGGGATTATAGGCATGAGCCATCAGGCCTGGCTAATTTTCGTATTTTTCGTAGAGACGCGGTTTCACCATGTTGGCCAGGCTGGTCTCGAACTCCTCAGCTCAAGTGATCCTCCTGCCTCAGCCTCCCAATGTGTTGGGATTACAGGCATGAGCCACCATGCCCGGCATCTGCTTTTGTCATCACATTGCTCTTCTTATAAGAATCATCGAATGCCAGGCCCACCCAGATAATCCAGTATCACCTCTCTATCTCAAAATCCTTAATTTAATCACATATGCTACATCCCTTTCCTCATAGAGTAATATTCACAGGTTTGGGGACTAGAAGATGCAGACACTTGGGGTGCCACGATACAGCCTACCACAAAGAGTGAAACAGGCTTAGTTCATAACCCAGTTATTCTCAGTGGAACTGAAGACACCCTTCCACACAAAAACTTGTACACAGATGTTAATAACAGCATTCATCATAACAACCAAAAAGTGGAAACAACCCAAAGTCCCCCAATTAATAAATAAACAAGGCCAGACACGGTGGCTCACACCTGTAATCCCAGCACTTTAGGAGGCCAAGGCAGGCAAATTGCTTGAGGTCAGGAGTTCGAGACCAGCCTGAACAACATGGTGAAACCCCATCTCTACTAAAATATAAAATTAGCAGGTGATGCATGCCTGTAATCCTAGCTACTCGGGAGGCTGAGGCAGGAGAATGGCTTGATCCCGGGAGACAAAAGTTGCAGTGAGCCGAGATTGTGCCATTGCATTCCAGCCTGGGTGACAGAGTGAGACTCCATCTTATAAACAAATAAATGGATAAACAAAATGTGGTCTCTCCATATAACAGATTATCATTCTGCCCAAAAGGAATGAAGTATTGATATATGCTACAACATGGATGAACTTTGAAAACATAAAAGCTCAACACAAAAGCTCACATGTTTATATGATTGCATTTCTAGGGAATGTCTAGAACAGGTCATTCCAGAGAGGCAGAAAGTAGACTAGTGTTTGCAGAGACGGTGGGGGATGAGGAATGGGGAGTGACTCCTGAATGACTGGAGTTTCTATTTGAGGTGATGAATAGGTTCTGGAATTAGCTAGTGGCAATGGTTGCACAACTTTGTGACTATGCTAGAAACCACTGATTAGGCACTTAAAGAGTGAATTTTGATGTGAATTATACCTTCATTTCTTTAAAAAATATGCTAATATGCCAAGCACAGTGGCTCATGCCTGTAAACCCAGCACTTCGGGAGGCTGAGGCAGACAGATCACAAGGTCAGGAGGTTGAGACCATTCGGGCTAACATGGTAAAAAACCGTCTCTACTAAAAATACAAAAAATTAGTTGGGTGTGGTGGTGGGCACCTGTAGTCCTAGCTACTCGGGAGGCTGAGGCAGAAGAATTGCTTGAACCCAGGAGGCGGAAGTTGCGGTGAGCCAAGATCGTGCCACTGCACTCCAGCCTGGGCGACAGAGTGAGACTCTGTCTCAAAAAAAAAAAGCTAATATGGGACCAAAAGAAAAACAACTTTTTGGGGTTGTTTGTTGGAGTGAGATGGAGTCTCACTCTGTCACCCATGGGTTGAAGTGCAGTGGCACGATCTTGACTTAGTGCCACCTCTGCCTCCCAGGTTCAAGCAACTCTCCTGCTCAGCCTCCTGAGTAGCTGGGATTACAGGCACCCACTACCACACCCGGCTAATTTTTGTATTCTTAGTAGAGATGGGGTTTCACCATGTTGGCCAGGCTGGTCTCGAACTCCTGACCTCAGGTGATCCACCCACCTCGGCCTCCCAAAGTGCTAGGACTACAGGTGTGAACCACTGTGCTTGGCCTTTTTTCCCTTTTGTTTTATACCATCCTTGGATGGGGGGATTCTAGGGACTGCTCCAAACAAATGAAGCTAACTAGAGATATAGTTTGGACTCCTATGGCAACTCAGAATGACTGTACACATTTCATTGATGAATGGGAACACATCATTGGACCCAATTTGACAAAAATGGAACCAGTCTCTGCCCTCTATGAGACCTAAACCAAGCAGGGTAAAAAGGGTGCATGTGGGTAGTTAAGGTAGGACAGACAGTGGTGTACCCCAAAAGAATATAGAGACACCATTATTGAGGTGCTAAGAAGGAAAACTTCCTGGTCAAGGCATTCGGTATTCACAGAAACCGGACTAACCTTGAAGTCAACCCAGGATCTGCATTTAATAAGGTTGGGGTAGATGGAGAAGGGAAGACAGGACAGAAGTCAAAGTGTTAGGAAAGACCTCACCCATCCAGGGACTAGATGCCTCTACTGAGAAATAACCTTCACCAACCCTCATTTCCTCGGTTTTCAGGCTTAGGGATAGCAAGTAAATTTTCAATTAGAAATATCACCTTTTTGGCCAGGTACAGGGGCTCACACCTGTAATCCCAGCACTTTGGGAGTCTGAGACAGGCAGGTCACCTGAGTCCAGGGGTTCGAGACCCTCCTGGTAAACATGGCAAAATCCTGTCTCTATAAAAAAATAAAAAATTCACCAGGCATGATGGTGAGTGCCTGTAGTCCCACATACTCTGGAAGCTGAGGCAGGAGGTTCGCTTGAACCCAGGGAGATTAGGGCTGCAATGAGCTCTGATTGTGCCACAGCACTCTATCCTGGGTGACAGAGTGAGACCTGTCTCAAAAAATAAAAATAAAAAGTATAATAAAAATCCTCTCCATCCCCCACTAGAATCTAGATTCCACAGACTCAGAGCCATAGGAGTAATGGCCATTAGCCTTTTGACAAAGGCAGTTTAGCTCAAACCATAATCTCTTCACTCCTTTCTTTAAAAGCCCAAAACGAGAGTTTGCAAGTTCTGAATCTATTAAATATTATCCAGCCAGAGACACTTGCTAAGAACATATTTTGCCCAAGACTACTCTAAACACTACATACTGACCGCCACCCCTTTGGCTGTTTTTTCAGAAGGTGTGTCAGGGCAGAAGCTCGTGATATTCCTTCTCTTTAAGGTCTGTTCATCTTTCTTGGCCTTTCGGAGCTCCAGACTGACCGCCATCCTCTGCTGTCGCCTCAGCTAGTGAGGAAAAGAAATTGGAGCATTTAGAACCAGGAGTGGGGATGTCACATTTAGTCTGTCAAACATGTTTCAAAGCATCCAATTTCATTTTTACAGATACAATAGGCTGGAAAAGTTCAGATCACACAGTTAGTAAATCATCTCAGCTCTGTTTACCTCCTCTTCTGTTTTCTGCTATACCACTTCTAGAAAATAATTTGATCTTCCCTCCAAAATAAAGCAAGACCATGCACAACCTTGACAGGTCAGGATTCTCAGCTATAAAAACACCCCAGCAAAGCATCCCATTGCCCTAAGTCTGAACACATCTTCATTGATGCTGATGATTTCCTGAAGAATATGGCTGCTTCCTGAATGTACCCAGGCCTTTTCGGTGGTGGCTAGGATAGATGGTGTTGGGGACGATTAGGGGACTGCCCATGTCCTAGATGCCCTGATCATTTCCACTATATTTATATATATATTTATATATTTGTTTTCTTTTTGAGATGGAGTCTCACTCTGTCACCCAGGCTGGAGGGCAGTGGCATGATCTCAGCCCACTACAACCTCTGCCTCTGGGGTTCAAGCCATTCTTGTGCCTCAGCCTCCCAAGTAGCTGGGATTACAGGCATGTGTCACCACACTCGGCTATGTTTTATATTTTTAGTAGAGATGGGGTTTCTCCATGTTGGCCAGGCTGCTCTTGAATTCCTAGGCTCAAGTGATCTACCTGCCTCAGTCTCCCAAAGTGCTGAGAATACAGGCTGAGCAACTGTGCATGGCCCATTTCCACTATTAATGAAACCTGTCTATAAGCCATTAAAGCCTTCATCCCCAAGTCTACATACTGAGGGAAATCAAAATTAAAACAAGGCTGGGCATGGTATCTCGTGCCTATAATCCCAGCACTTTGGGAGGTCAAGGTGGGAGGATCATTGAGGCCAGGAATTCTAGACCAGCCTGGACAACATAGCAAGACCCTGTTTCTACCAAAAAATTAGCTGGGCATGGTAGCATGCTCCTGTAGTCCCAGCTACTTGGGAGTCTGAGGTGGGAGGATCCCTTGAGCCAGGGAGGTCTAGGCTGCAGTGAGCTACGATTGTACCACTGCACTCCAGCCTGGGCAATAGAGCAAGACCCTGCCTCTACAAATCTCTCTCTCTCTCAATCTCTCTCTCCCCTCCCCGATCTTATGTCAGTTAATGACTCAAACTTTATAGTATTAAGAATCCTGAGGAAATGACCTAACCTTTCTAAATAGCTGAGTTTGGGCTGAAGACATTTCAGGAACAATTATAAAGAAGTCACCATGTATTAGATACTTTTGGTTCTTTAAGCTACTTAATTCTTGCTTGAAAATGGGTCATCAGCCGGGCACCGTGGCTCCCACCTGCAATCTCAGCACTTTGGGACACCAAGGCAGGAGGATTGCTTGAGCTCAGGAGTTCAAGACCAGCCCGGCCAACATAGTGAGACCCTGTCTCTACAAAGAAATAAAAAATTAGCCAGGCATGGTGCTACTTGGGAGGCTGAGGTGGGAGGATCACTTGAGCCTGGGAGGCAGAGGCTGCAGTGAACTATGATCGTGCCACTGCACTCCAGCCTGGATGACAGAGCAAGACCGTGTATCAAATAATAATAAAAGGAAAAAATTTAAAAGGGTCATGGTGGCATTATATGGCAAGGTAGGAACACATTTGGGAATCATTGAGCCCATCATACTGTTGCCCCATCGCTAGGCAGTTCCTGCCTGTAAAAACTTTTGTACCTTTCTCTCTTCTCTTTGGCAGGCCCTTCCTGTTGCTGTGAAGACTCAATTCCTTCGTTCTCACTGATTTCCTTTAATTTTCAGTGGTCCTAGAAGCCGGACAGCTTCATTGTTGGAATAGGTTACTGTAAGAGTGATTTGGTTCCTGGGCCAGGCACGGTGGCTCATGCCTGTAATCCCAGCACTTTGGGAGGCCGAGGCAGGGGGATCATGAGGTCAGAAGATCGAGACCATCCTGGCCAACATGTTGAAACCCCATCTCTACCAAAATGCAAAAAAAAAAATTAGCCGGGCATGGTGGTACACACCATGGTAGGCTGAGGCAGGAGAATTGCTTGAACCCAGGAGGCAGAGGTTGCAGTGAGCCAAGATCACGCCATTGCACTCCAGCCTGGTGACAGAGCAAGACTCCATCTCAAAAAAAAAAAAAAAAAAAAAAAAAGTGATTTTGTTCCTGATGGTGGCCTAACCAGGCTGCTGTGACCCTGTGCTTCCCTCGTTCTCCTAATCAGGCTTCTGGATTCCCAAGGTGGAGCTAAACTTATACGATGCCAGTCAAGATACAGAGATGGGGGGCTGGGAGCAGTGGCTCATGCCAGTAATCCCAGCACTTTGGGAGGCCAAGACAGGCAGATCACTTGAGGCCAGGAGTTTGAGACCAGCCTGGCCAACATGGCAAAACCCTGTCTCCACTAAAAATACAAAAAATTAGCCAGGCGTAATTGTGCACACCTGTAATCCCAGCTACTTGGGAGGCTGAGGCAGGAGAATCGCTTGAACCTGGGAGGCAGAGGTTGCAGTGAGCCAAGATCACACTGCTGCACTCCAGCCTGGACTATGAAGCAAGTCTTCATCTCAAAAATAAAAAGATACAGAGATGGAGGACAGAGCTTGCAACACAAAACTATGTGACCAAAGAAGCCGAGTGAATGTTAGAATCCATATACACAGCACACACCCCCCGTCCCCAGCCCTTGGGCTCAACCTGGAAGCAAGAACAGCCTGGACTTCTCAGTTCCAAGTCCTATTTCTACAAGGCATGCCTGTTGGCCATACCTATATGCTAACGTTTTAGCTCCTTGGTAAGCCTCATTGACGTGAGCAGCTGTAAACACCTGTATACTGGCCCTTGAGGAAGCAATCCAGCTCCTCGGAGATAAATAGCAGCCTGGTTTTTTATTTTTTTCAGACGAAGTCTCACACTGTCGCCTGGATGGAGTGCAGTGGCACAATCTCGACTCACTGCAACCTCCACCTCCCAGGTTCAAGCAGTTCTCCTGCTTCAGCCTCCCAAGTAGCTGGGATTACAGGCCCCCGCCACCATGCACATCTAATTTTTTGTATTCTTAGTACAGACAGGGTTTCACCATGTTGGCCAGGCTGGTCTCGAACTCCTGACCTCAAGTGATCACTTTGGCCTCCCAAAGTGCTGGAATTACAGGTGTGAGCCATCATGCCCAGCCCAGCCTGGTTTTTTATTTGGTTTTGTTTTAGAGACAGGGTCTGGCTCTGTCACCCAGATTGGAGTGCAGTGGCACAATCACAGTTCACTGCAGCCTTGAACTCCTGGGCTCAAGCAATCCTCCTGCCTCAGCCACCAGAGTATCTGAGACTACAGGCACACACCACCACACCTGGCCGATTTTTTGTTTTTGTAGAGTTGGAGGTCTTGGTATGTTACCCAGGCTGGTCTAGAACTCCTATCTTCAAGCGATCCTCCCACCTTGGCCTCCCCCAAAGTACTGGGAACACAGGCATGAGCTACCATGCCCAGCTAAGCAGCCCTGTTTTATGGATGAAGAAACTGGGGTTCTGAAATTAAATAATTGCAAGATTCCACGGAAACTTTGATTTGATTCCACAGTTGTCTGGCTCCTAAGTCCACATGCTTTTGTCTTCTCCACCTTTAATATTTTATGATGAAAATAGCAAACATACAGAAAAGTTGGAAGGATAATTCAGGGAAACACCTAGTCATCTATCTAAAGAATCTTTTGCTATATTTGCCTTTTCAACCCATCTCTCCACCACCTCCCTGCCCCCCGCTATTTTTTTTTTGAGATGGAGTTTCTCTCTTGTCGCCCAGGCTGGAGTGCAGTGGCCTGATCTCAGCTCACTGCAACCTCTGCCTCCCAGGTTCAAGCAATTCTCCTGCCTCAGCCTCCCAAGTAGCTGGGATTACAAGTACAAGCCACCACACCCAGGTCATTTTTGTATTTTTAGTAGAGACGGGGTTACACCATGTTGGCCAGGATCGTCTTAACCTCCTGACCTTGTGATCTGCCCGTCTCAGCCTCTCAAAGTGTTGGGATTACAGGCATGAGCCACCGCGCCTGGTCTCTTCACCCCGCTTTTTATGCAGATTGCACTGGTCCCCAATAGAAGCAGGTGGGTGCTTCATACTCACAGACACATCTTTGCCTCGGTACTTAAATTTTCTCCGCCTCTCTTCTGGAGCATCTAAGGTCGGCATATTGACTGGAAGTAGTAAGTTACCTGCAGGTTGGACAGCAACAAAGAAATTTTCAGTGCCCATTGTGTGGGTTATTATGTCAGTATCATAAGGCTCTAACCCTTAAAGGGCTCACAGTGGAGCAAAGGGCAGACCCAGGAAGCTAGCTTTTTTTTTTTTTTTTTTTTTTTTTTTTTTTTTTTTTTTTGAGACAGAGTCTCGCTCTGTTGCCCAGACTTGAGTGCAGTGGGGGGATATCAGTTCACTGCAACCTCCGCCTCCCGGGTTCAAGTGGTTCTCCTGCCTCAGCCTCCCAGGTAGCTGGGACTATAGGCGCCTGCCACCACGCCCGGCTAATTTTTGTCTTTTTAGTAGAGACGGGGTTTCACCACGTTGGCCAGGCTGGTCTTGAACTCCTGACCTTGTGATCCGCCCACCTCGGCCTCCCAAAGTGCTGGGATTACAGGCATGAGCCACCGCTCCCAGCCAGCATTTTTTATTTTTTGGGACCAGAGAAGCTGAGTGAGAGTTAGAACCCATATACACAGCACAGACTCCCCGTCCCCAACCCTTGGGCTCAACCTGGCAGCAAGAACAACAGTCTGGACTTCTCAGCTCCATGTCCTATTTCTGCAAGACCTGCTTGTTGGCATCAGAGTCTCACTCTGTCACCCGGGCTGGAGTGCATTGGCACAATCACGGCTCACTGCAACCTTGACCTCCTGGACTCAAGTGATTCACCCACCTCAGCCTCTTGAGTAGCTGGGACTACAGGCATGAGCCACCACACATGACTCACTTTTTATTTATTTTATTTATTTATTTTTTGAGACAGAGTCTCACTCTGTCACCCAGGCTGGAGTGCGGTGGCGCAATCTTGGCTCACTGCAAGCTCCGCCTCCCGGGTTCACGCCATTCTCCTACCTCAGCCTCCCGAGTAGCTGGGACTACAGGCACCTGCCACCACGCTCAGCAAATTTTTTTGTATTTTTAGTAGAGACGGGGTTTCACCGTGTTAGCCAGGATGGTCTCTATCTCCTGACCTCGTGATCCACCCACCTCGGCCTCCCAAAGTGCTGGGATTACAGGCGTGAGCCACCGTGCCCGGCCACACCTGGCTTATTTTTGGTTTTGTTTGTTTTTGTAGAGTCGGCTTTTCACCACGTTGGCCAGGCTGGTCTTGAACTCCTGACCTTGTGATCCACCCACCTCAGCCTCCCAAAGTGCTGGGATTACAGGCATGAACCTGAAGTCAGCTTCTATAAGCATCACCACACCAGCTCAGTAGGCTGTGAACACTGTGGGAGCACCAAGACCACCAATGCTGGGCATAGCAGTAAAGGAAAGCTTTTAAAAGTGCTTTGGCTTCAACTGGGTCCTCAAATGAGGCAGATGGGCTGGTTGTCATATATAGAAGCCTTTCATGCCAGGTGCAGTGGCTCACACCTATAATCCCAGCACTTTGGAAGGCTGAGGCAGATGGATCACTTGAGGCCAGGAGTTCGAGATCAGCCTGGGCAACATGGGGAAACCCCATCTCTACTAGAAATACAAAAATTAGTCAGGCATGGTGGCGGACACCTATAATTCCAGCTATTTGGGAGGCTGAAGCAGGAGGATCACTTGAATCCGGGAGGCGGAGGTTGCAGTGAGCTGAGATTGCGCCACTGTACTCGAGCCTGGGCAACAGAGTAAGATTCCGTCTCAAAAAGAAAAAGAAAAGAAGGCTTTCACACGGTGTGTCTGAGGAGTTATAAATCAGGCATATGTACAGGGTGGTGAGGAGACCCGCCAAGGCTGCAACAGGAAAACCCCACACCCAATGCACCAGCACATGGGGTCAGGACAGTCTCAAGCACAAGTCACTGAGAATCCTTCAGTAGACTGCCTCCACCCCAGTCCAGACCACTATCACCTCTTACCCACACTACTGCAGTTGCCTTCCAGCTGGTCTCCCTGCTTCTCCCATTGCCTTATTCCAATCTGTTCTTTGCACAGAGTACATGTGATTGTGGATCACCTGAGGTCAGGAGTTCGAGACCAGCCAGACCAACATGGCGAAACCCTGTCTCTACTAAAAGTACAAAATTAGCCAGGCGTAGTGGCAGGCACCTGTAGTCCCAGCTACTCAGGAGGCTGAGACAGGAGAATCGCTTGAACCCAGGGGGCGGAGGTTGCCGTGAGCCAAGATCGCACCACTACACTCCAGCCTGGGCAACAGAGCGAGACTCCAACTCAAAAAAAAAAAAAAAAAAAAAAAAAAAAGAAAAAAATCTGATTAGTCAGGCACAGTGGCTCATGCCTGTAATCTCAACAACTTGAGAGGTTAAGGTGGAGACTTGCTTAAGGCCAGGTGTTCAAGACCAGCTTGGGCAACAAAGCAAGACCCCCGTCTCTACAAAAAATATAAAAATAAGCTGGGCATGGTGGCACATACCTGTAGTCCCAGCTACTTGAGGCTGAGGTGGGAGGATTTCTGGAGCCCAGGAAGTCAAGGCTGCAGTGAGCCACGATTGCACCACTGCACTCCAGCCTGGACAGCAGAGCCAGACCCTGTCTCCAAAACAAACAAACAAAAAAAAGAAAAAATCAAGGAGAATCTGATCTAACTCTCCTGCTTAAAAAAACTCTCCTGGCTACCCAATGAGTTTAGAAGAAAATTCACTTTCTGCACTGGCCCCAGCCCACTTCACCTCCAACAACTCTTTCCTTGATCATTGTGTTCTAGACCCCTGGGCTTCATTATCAAGTGTTCCAGGTTCATTGTACTCGGGCCTTTGAAGTAGCTGCTCTGCCCAGGATCTCTGCACACTTGGCTCCTCTTCATTCAGTCTCTGCTTAAACATCTCTGAAAGCCCTTTTAACTGTCTTCCCAGTCTTATTTTCTTCTCAGCTTTAACCACTGCCTGATATTTTCTTGTTTGTCCAACTTCCTCTCCTCCTACTCCCCATGGTAACAGTACTGTGTCTTAGGCAGGGATTTCTTACCTCTTTCACAACACATGACAAAGTAGGTACTCAAATATTTGTCAAGGGAGGGTACTGTGTGATACGAGACAGGGAGTTGGCCCTCAGTTAGAGGTGGTTATTCAAATCAGGCCAAGTTTGAACTTTTTTTAAATTGGAGGGAGTTTGCTTTTGTGTTTTTGTTTTGCTTTTGAGACAGTCTTGCTCCGTTGCCCAGGCTGGAGTGCAATAAATAGTGTAATCATGGCTTACTGCAGCCTCAACCTCTTGAGCTCAAGTGATCCTCCTGCCTCAGCCTCCTGAGCAGCTAGGACTACAGGCACAAGTCACCAAGGCTGGCTAATTTGTATTTTTTGTAGAGATGGGATCTCACTATGTTGCCCAGGCTGGTTTCAAACCCCTGGGCTAAAGCAATCCTCCCCCTCAGCCTCCCAAAGCATTGGGATTAGAGGCATGAGCCACTGCACCTGGCCCCAACTTTGAATGTTCACAAGGCAGCAGGGAATATTTCTTACAGGTATGTAATATTCATCTGTTTCTGACCATACGAGATGGTCCAGACTACATTATAGAAAAGAGAAAATTGGATAAAGAAAGTCAACTGACTCTTGTCTTCAGTGAATAGCAGCCAAGAATAGTTTTGGTAGAAAAGACTAATTCAGACATATCAATTTGAAAGGGGCAGTGCAGACAACTTGGAGATTTGCATCAGAGAATTTAGAGCTGGCTGGGCACAGTGGCTCATGCCTATAATCCCATCACTTTGGGAGGCCAAGACGGGTGGATCACCTGAGGTCAGGAGTTCGAGACCAACCTGGCCAACATGGCAAAACCCTGTCTCTACTAAAAATACAAAGATTAGCCAGGTGTGGTGGCACATGTGCCTGTAATCCCAACTACTTGAGAGGCCGAGGCAGGAGAATCGCTTGAATCTGGGAGGCAGAGGTTGCAGTGAGCCTAGATCAAGCCACTACACTCCAGCCTGGGCAACAGAGTGAGACTCTGTCTCAAAAAAAGTAATTTAGGGCCAAGACTGATGTTGTAAGAAGAGAGACAAGCTCTATGCAAGATCAGAACAAGGATCGAGTCTTGAGGATGCTCACATTAGGGCCTGAGAGAATGAAGAATTAGCAAAGAACCAGGACAAAGGAGGGAGTTGGAGATAGAACAACAGAGTTAGTATCAGAGGCACTGCTGGCAACAGTAGTCACTGCGCCAGGGACAAGTCCCTAAAATCAAGCTCCAGCCACCCACAGCAAGACAGGAGCTACAGGAGAGCATGTCAGCTGAGCCTCAGAGCAGAGGAAACCAACAGCCCACACCATCCCTCTGGGTTTCAGATCCTGGTGGCTCTGCCTGCTTTAAAGCATTAGTTTCCTCCACAGCCTGGGAAAGAATAGCCTATATACCTTGTCTGCAAATCTGATCCTGGGAAATGCAAATTAGTTCCTGGAATTGACCAATCTCTCCCACTCTCCGATCTCAAAGCCAGAGAGGTGGAGGGTGACACCTGGTTTAAACATTCACGAAGCTCTCAATCATTGTGAGTCATGTTGACCTCCTCCCCAACCAATGTGGACAAAGGGACCTCAGTGAATCCAGAGTCCTTTGGTTGCTGCCCAGGGAGCCCTCACACAAGTTGGCTTAAGACTATCTCAGGCTTTAGATTTCTTCAATACAACTTCAAGCTCGAGGTAGCTTTACTCCTAGCAACACATCAGAACTCAGTATACCTGGGAAGGGAAGAGAACAACATTGCAAGACAGCCTCAGCACTGGGAGATCAGGCTAGGAAACACTGGTGTCCGATCCACATGTGTCCTTTTTTTTTTTTTTTTTTTTTTTTTTTTGAGACAGAGTTTCATTCTTGTAGCCCAGGCTGGAGTGCAGTGGTGCGATCTCAGCTCACTGCAACCTCCACCTCTCGGTTCAAGCAATTCTCCTGCCTCAGCCTCCCACGTAGCTGGGATTACAGGCACCTGCCACCACGCCCAGCTAATTTTTGTATTTTTTTTCTTTTTTTGGTAGAGATGGGGTTTCATCATATTGCTGAGCTGGTCTCAAACTCCTGACCTCAGGTGGCCCACCCGCCTCGGTCCCCCAAAGTGCTGGGATTACAGGAGTGAGCCACCATGCATGGCTTACTTTTAAGTAATCTCAAATTCTGCCCCATAAGGAAGCGTTGCTTTTTAAGACTAAATTGGCCAGGCACAGTGGCTCACACCTATAGTCTCAACGCTTTGGGAGGCCAAGGCAGAAGCTTGAGGCAGGAGTTTGAGACCAGCCTCAGCAAAATGGTGAGACCCTATCTCTACCAAAAAAGATTAAAAAAATTAAAAATTAATCCGGCATCGTGATGGGCACCTATAGTCCCAGATACTCGGTGGGAGGATCGCCTGAGCCCCAGAAATCAAGGCTGCAGTGAGCCATGATTGTGCCACTGCACTCCAGCATGGGTGACAGAGACCCTGTCTCAAAAAGAAAAGAAAAAAAGAAAAGAAAAAATCATTGCTATTGATCACAGTATCCTTTTAACATCTTGAAAACTAGATTCCTAGTCACCAGAATAACCAATGTCAAGAGGATCATCAGTTGAACCAAAATTTGGGTTTAAATGAGATTCTATTTCTAGGTCTCCAAGAGTTGAGACATAGGGCATTTATAAGTCTGGAGTAGACAAGAATTATGGGCCTATTTAAGGAGCAATGGCCAAAAGGGATTTTTTTTTTTTTTTGAGACAGAGTCTCACTCTGTTGCCAGGCTGGAGTGCAGTGGGTCGATCCCAGCTCACTGCAACCTCCGCCTCCCGGGTTCAAGTGATTCTCCTGTCTCAGCCTCCCAAGTAGCTGGAACTAAAGGCTCACACCACCACACCCCCCAGCTAACTTTTGTATTTTTAGTAGAGACGGGGTTTTGCCATGTTGGCCAGGATGGTCTCAAACTCTTGACCTCATGATCCACCGTCTTGGCCTCCCAAAGTGCTAGGATTACATGTGTGAGCCACTGCACCTGGCCTTTTAAAAAAAAAAAAAAAAAAAAAAAAAAAGAGAGAGAGACAGAGTCTCATTGTTGCCCAGGCTGAAGTGCAGCGGAGCAATCATAACTCACTGCAGCCTTGACCTCCTGGGCTCAAATGATCCTCCCACCTCAGCTTCCTGAGTAGCTGGGACCACAGGAACAAGCTACCACACTTCACTAATTTTTTAAATTTTTTGTAGAGATGGGGTCTTACTCTGTCACCCAGGTTGGGGTGCAGTGATACAATCATAGCTCACTGCAGCCTCAAACTACTGGGCTCAAGCAATCCTCTCACCTCAGCCCCCCAAGTAGCTGGGACTACAGATATGCACCACCATACTCAGCTAATGTTTTCATTTTTCAGAGATGCGGTCTTGCTGTGTTGCCCACGCTGTTCTTGAACTCCTGACCTCAAGTGATCCTCCTGCCTCCACCTCTCAAATCACTGGAATTATGCACATGAGCCACTGCACCTGGCCCAAAACATTTATTATGTGCCCAGAATTTTAGACATTTAGGATTAAATGAAGTTTCATCTAATACTAAGGTAAAAATATCCCCATTTTGCAGGTGAAGGAGCCATCTCAGACATCATTTCCCAAAGTTCCCATAACTGTGAAGTATCAGAACCAGGACATCAGATTTGACTCCTGCGTCCAAGCTTTGCAGCCAATAATCTGTAACAAGGTCTAATTAGGAAAGCATGAGATCACCACCATGGCCAGTGCAGTGGCTCACACCTGTAATCCCAGCACCTTGGGAGGCCAAGGTGGGCAGATCCTCTGAGGTCAGGAGTTTGAGATCATCCTTGGCCAATGTGGCAAAACCCCGTCTCTACTAAAAATATACAAAAAAAAAAAAAAATTAGCCAGGGATGGTGGCATGTGCCTGTAGTCCAAGCTACTTGGGAGGCTGAGGCAGGAGAATCACTTGAAACTGGGAGGCAGAGGTTACAGTGAGCTGAGATCGCACCACTGCACTCCAGTCTGGGTGACAGAGCAAGACCCTATCTCAAAAAAAAACAAAAAACAAAAACAAAAACAAAAAAACTAGCCAGTTGTGGTGGTGTGCACCTGTAGTCCCAGCTACTTGGGAGGCTGAGGAGGGAGAATCGCTTGAGCCCAGGAGGTGGAGGCTGCAGTGAGCAGAGATCACGCCACTGCAATCCAGCCTGGATAACAAAGAGAGACCCTGTTTCAAAGGAAAGAGGGGAGGGGAGGTAGGGAAGGGGAGGGGAGGTAGGGGAGGGGAGGGGAGGTAGGGGAGGGGAGGGGAGGTAGGGGAGGGGAGGGGAGGTAGGGGAGGGGAGGGGAGGTAGGGGAGGGGAGGGGAGGGAGGGAAGGCAGGCCACCACTATGGGTGGCACTTAACACATGGGGTGAGATGTTAGAAAGGAGGAAAGCCCATTTCATGCAACAGAAACAATAGAGGCCACTTCTGAAATACCTGCTCTAGCTGCCACCTTGTTGCTACGCTTCACATGTTGCCAATGGCACAATTATCTCAGTTAATGAGACTGAGCATGCATGAGGAAGAGGCCAGTTTGGTACAAGGGGCTGCAATCCTGCCTCTGGGAAAACCCAAGACAGCACTCAGCTCTAAGACCATTGCCAAGGGAACTGCTCATCCTTCTGCCACAACCTGGAAGCCATGGCTATTAGAAACTCGGCGCGGTGGCTCATGCCTGTAATTCCAGCACTTTGGGAGGCTGAGGTGGGTGGATCACAAGGTCAGGAGTTCGAGACCAGCTTGGTCAACATGGTGAAACCCCGTCTCTACTAAAAATACAAAAATTAGCTGGGCGTGGTGGTGGGCGCCTGTAATCTCAGCTACTCGGGAGGCTGAGGCACTGGAATCGCTTGAACCCGGGAGGCAGAGGTTGCAGTGAGCTGAGATGGTGCCACTGCACTCCAGCCTGGGCAACAGAGCGAGACTGTCTCAAAAAAAAAAAAAAAAAAAAAAAAAAAGGCATTTGCCACCTTCCTTCAAACCAAATATCACAGGAAATGGCTTGAAGCCGAGAAAGCTCAGCTGCAGATGAGACAGGGTCCTCCCCACTCCTTGAGGTATCTTTAGGGAGAGGGTTGAAGGTTATAGAGCTAGCAGATCACTTCGTGTAGGGACATTCTGCAAACCCAGCGGCAGAGCAGATCCCTGTTGCTTCTCCAGGCTTCTCTGGTCACAGCTCGGATTCCGCTTCTTTCCCTTCACATGGCTGTTGGCAGCGACCAGGAGAGCTGGGTGCCCTGTCGTTCTTTACTTAAGAAAGTGTTGACAGCCAGGCAGAGGCTCATGCCCGTAATCCCAGCAGTTTGGGAGGATTATTTGAGACCAGGAGTTCAAGACTTGGGGCAACACAGTGAGACCCCATCTCTACAAATAAATGAAAAAAATATATAGCCAGGTGGTTGCTGTACAACTGCAGTCCCAGCTACTCAGGAGGCTAAGGCAGGAGGATCACTTGAGCCCAGTAGGTTGAGGCTGCAGCAGCGAGTTATGATTGCACCACTACGCTCCAGCCTAGGCAAGAGATCCCTTCTCTAATTAAAAAAAAAAAAAAAAGAAAAGCACTGAGTTATACACAGTCCAAGTCAGTACCCTGCCCCTTTTTGTTTTGAGATAGGTCTTACTCCCACCATCCAGGCTGGAGTGCAGTGGCACAATCACAGCTCACTACAGCCTCGACTTTCTGGGCTCAGATGACCTCTCACCTCAGCCTCCCAAAGGAGCTGGGGCTACAGGCACACACCACCACACCCAGCTAAGTTTTTTGCATTTTAGAAAGACAGGTGTCTTGCTACATTGCCCAGGCTTGTCTCGAAGTCCTGGGCTCAAGTGATCCTCCCACTTCAGCCTCCCAAAGTGCTTGGATTACAGATATGAGCCACTGCACCTGGCCCAAGTCAGTACCTTTGTTCATTGGTTCTTCAAGTTTGAGATCCCAAGAAAGCCGAACTAGTGATTAAGACAAATGTCATCCACCTAGGGGTTTTATTTATCCCTGGGGTCTCAGGCCAGCTCAGCTGCTCCCTATACACTGTAAGACCCCTGCCCTGTGTGACAGGTACCAGAGGCCCTGCCAAGGAACCCTACCATGCCCAAGGTCCCCTAGGCTCCCAAGCTTCTTACCAACACCCTCTTTTTTTTTGTGAGATGGAGTCTGGCTCTGTCGCCCAGGCTAGAATGCAGTGGCGTGATCTCAGCTCACTGCAACCTCCACCTTCCAGATTCAAGCAATTCTCCTGCCTCAGCCCCCTGAGTAGCTGGGATTACGGGCATGCGCCACCATGCCTAGCTAATTTTTGTATTTTTAGTGAAGACAGGGTTTCACCATGTTGGCCAGGCTGGTCTCGAACTCCTGACCTCAGGTGATCCGCCCGCCTTGGCCTCCCAAAGTGCTGGGATTACAGGCATGAGCCACCATGCCCAGCCACCTCTTACCCTTTCAATCCTTCTGAGTAAGGGACCATTATGGACTTCCAGGTCTTATTAACGGTATTGAGTCGCTTCCTCTGGTTGGGGCATTTCAGGCCATTTTTGAGCTTTCTATACTTTTCTAGATCTAGCTGAGTTTTTCCTGTGAGCAACTTTCATGAACTGAGAACCATTTTAAATTAAGACATGTCATCATCCAAGAGTTGGCTTCTACAAAATAGCATTTTTTGGATTTCAAAGTAACACATAGTGAGGGCTTAAAGGATATAAATACTTCAGAAATATATTGAACGTTAGCTTCCAATAACCCCACTCCTCCACCAAGTTAACCTTTAAAAACTCACCACCCTCTGTGTGCCCAGCCCGGCTGCAGCTGCACAGGCACTGACATGGTAATTCGAGGAGGGGATCTTGAACATGCCATTTTGTGACATGTGTTTCTTTCATCTGTACCTTGGACATCATTTGATATCTGTATGTTCAGATCTGCATCACTACCAGCCAGTTCTTCAAAGTAGGGTTTGTTTAAGCTAAAAACACATGTTGGATTCGAGCTAGCGAGTCAATGAGACTTATCTGCCAGGAAGGAGGGGTTCAGGGATCCCAGCAGCCTCTGCCTCAATGCCCCAAGATGCATTGGTCCACAAGCTGAGGCTAGCTGGGGTTGGGGGTGGAGAGGGAAGGTAAAGTGTCCAGGGACAGGAGAGGACAGCCAGGGAGGAGAAAAGGCCCAGGAACGGGGACTCCACCTTGCCTTTTTTTTTTTTTTTTTTTTTTTTTTTTTGAGACAGAGTCTTGCTCTGTCACCCAGGCTGGAGTGTAGTGGTGCTATCTCGGCTCACTGCAGCCTCCGCCTCCTGGGTTGAAGCAATTCTCCTCCCTCAGCCTCCCAAATAGCTGGGATTACAGTCACACACCACCACACCCAGCTAATTTTTGTATTTTTACTAGAGACAGAGTTTCATCATGTTGGCCAGACTGGTCTGGAACTCCTGGCCTCAAGCAACCCACGCACCTCGGCCTCCCAAAGTGCTGGGATTACAGGCGTGAGCCTCCATGCCCGGCCCCACCTCGCCACTCTTTAGCTTTCTGAGGGGCTTTACCAACATGAATGAGACGCACCTGGGGATTCCAGACTTCAGTTTCAATGCTGAGAAAGAGGGGCCAGAGGGGCTGCAGGCCATGCCCAGGTTGAAGTGATCTCGGCTCACTGCAGCCTCAAACTCCCTGGCTCAGGCAATCCTCCTGCCTCAGCCTCCCGAGTAGCCAGGACCACAGGCATGCACCATCACACCTGGCTAATTTTTTTATTTTTTGGTAGAGACTGGGCCTCGCTATGTTGCCTACTCTGGTCTCAAGTGATCCTCTCCCTTCAGCCTCCTGAGTAGCTAGGACTACAGGTGCACACTGCCATACCTGGCTGATTTTTTCAAATTTTTTTTTCTTTTTTTTGTAGAAACAGGGTCTTTGTTGCCCAGGCTGGTCTCAAACTCCTGTTCACAAGAAGGAGGCAAGAGACCAGGCCCTCTACCTGTGAAAGATATAAAAGCAAGCTTCCTGAGAGGGGGCTGAATCGGGAACAAGTCCCACAGGTGACAACATCCCGGGGAGTACTTCAGGAAGGAGGGGCACATGGCAAGGCCGAGGACATGGGAGTCACAGCCCACTATGTGGTTAGACTCACTCCAGACACCCCGCAAGCCCGCGTCTGGGCTCTGCAGAGTAAACAGACCCCTGCACCTACCACTTCCTCCTTATCCACCCTCAAAAACAAGCCAAAGACGACCTAGCACAGTGTCTCTAAAGACACTGGCTGATTTCAACAGAGACAACAGCCTAGGCCTTCTCCAAGCTGCCCCCATGGGCAGGCAGATCTGCTTCAGAAAGGGCCCCCAGAGGCACCTCCGTGGTGGAGAGCAAGGACACAGCAGCCTCCTCAGGGCCCCCAAACAGCTGCCTGGCTCATTACCCGTACAAGAGCAAGATATCTGATCAGCCAATACCCAGACAGAAGGACTCAGCCACGTCTGGAGCCGGGGCTCGTGCACACATTCGCACTTTCTCACACAGGGACAAGCCACCAACCACTCACCTGGCCAGGAGCCGCAGCCTCCAGCCCCTTGGTCAGCCTTAAATGCCCTCAGCTGATGGCAGGTGTTTCGCAGCCCTTGGCCCCACCTCACAGGGCTGATTCTACCCCCACGCCGATGGTTCTTATGCGTGAACGCAGATTGGAATCACTTGGGGAGTTTTGAGCCCGCCCCGGGCAAGAGGCTGATTGAGTTGGTCAGGGAGGCTGAGGGGCGAGGCCCGGGTCTCCCAGGTGAGTCTCATGTTCAGAACCTTCAGCCTCTGCAGCTGTAGCATTTTGAGGCCCTTGAGTAAACCATCAAAAGGTGAAGTGGGGTGAGGGTTGAGGGGAATTCCTTCTAGGGAAGGGTTTGCATTCTGGACGTTTAAGGCTCCTAGGATCTAGCTAGGTTGAGTGGCCTCTTCCTAAACTTGCACAGAAGGCTTAAAAGCTGCTGTTGAATTAATTAGCGTTTACTCCCAAGGCAGGCAATAAGATTTGATGGAGGTGAGAATAGATCTGCTTCATACTGGAATGAAAATAAGAACATTTCAGGTATTGATTCTGCAAATATTTAGACTGCCTACTCTAATCTTCATGTGCCACGCCCTGACAAAGCAGCAGTGAATGAATGACCTGGTCCCTGCCCTCCCAGCAAAGTGGAAACCAGACGGCAATTGTAGTCTGGTGCAGTGGCTCACGCCTGTAATCCCAACACTTTGGGAAACCAAGGCAGGAGGATTGCTTGAGCCCAGGAGTTTGAGACCAGCCTGGGCAATGTAGTGAGACCCCGTCTCTACAAAAAAAAAAAAAAATTAATTAGCTGAGAGGGCCGGGCACAGTGGCTCACACCTGTAATCCCAGCACTTTGGGAGGCTGAGGCGGGATGATCACTTGAGGCCAGGAGTTCAAAACCAGCCTGGACAACGTGGCAAAACCCCATCTCTACTAAAAATACAAAAATTAGCCGGGTGTGGTGGCGCACACCTGTAATCCCAGCTACTCAGGAGGCTGAGGCAGGAGAATTGCTTGAACCCGGGAGGCAGAGGTTGCAGTGAGCCGAGATCACGCCATTGCACTCCAGCCTGGGCGACAGAGCAAGACTCCATCACATGCACACACACACACACACACACACACACACACACACACAAATTAGCTGCAAGGGGTGGTGCACACCTGTAGTCCTAGCTGTTTGGAAGGCTGAGGCAGGAGGATCACTTAAACCTAGGAGTCGAGGCTGCTGTGAGCTGTGATTGTGCCACTGCACTCCAGCCTGGGTGACAAGAGCAAGATTCTGTCTCAAGATAAATAATAATAAACTTTTTTTAAAAGACGGCAATTGGGACAACATAGAGGGGGAGGTCAGGGAGGGCTTCCTGGAAGAGGGGATGCCCAAACCAAGTCCTCAGGAAAAGGAGTTTGCAGATGGAAAACTGAGGAAGATGCTCCAGGCAGAGGACACAGCACAGGAGGAGTTATTGAGGCAAGAAAAATGGGCATGTGTTCCCTGGGAATGAAGAGCCCATTCAGTATTGCTAGAGGGACAAGGGAGTAAGATGCCAAAGCGAAGATGGCCTGGTGCCCAGCGGAGGGGGCACTGGGAGCCATCCACAATGGGCCAGATGATAAAAGGTTGCACTGTCTAATAAGGGATTATTGATTTTTTTTAAAAAAAAAATTATGTTTTAGGTCAGGCGTGGTGGCTCACACCTGTAATCCCAGCACTTTGGGAGGCCAAGGTGGGCAGATCACCTGAGGCCAGGAGTTCAAGACCAGCCTGGCCAACATGGCAAAACTCCATCTCTACTAAAAATACAAAAAATTAGCTGGGCGTGGTGGCAGGCACCTGTAATCCCACCTAACTGGGAGGCTGAGGCAGGAGAATCACTTGAACCCAGGAGGCGGAGACTGCAGTGAGCCGAGATGGCACCACTACACTCCAGCCTGGGCAACAAGAGCGAAACTCCATCTCAAAAATAAAAAATTGTTTTAGAGATGGGATCTTGCTCTGCTGCCCAGGCTGGAGCACAGTGGCGCTATCACAGCTCACTGCAAACTTGACCTCCAGACTCAACCCGTCCTCCCACCTCAGCCTCCCAAACAGCTGGGACCACAGTTGTGCACCACCACACCTGGCTAATTTGTTTTTATTTCTTGCAGAGATCGGGTCTACCTATGTTCCCCAGGCTGGTCTCGAACTCCTGTGCTCAAGCATTCCTCCCACCTCTGCCTGCTGAATAGCTGGGATTACAGGCACACACCACCACGCCTGGATAATTAAAAAAAAATTTTTTTTTGCACAAAAAAAGGGTCTCACTATGTTGCCCAGGTTGGTCTCGAACTCAACCATCCTCAAGCCATCCTCCTGCCTTGGCCTCCCAGGGATGAGCCACCACACCCAACCACATCAAGCTTTGGAATCCAATAATCATTCTTTGGCTAAATCTAATCAGCCAACCACCATGGTGCGCACAGGAGGTCCCCAGAGGTCTCAGGAAGGCAGGAGAAGCAGCACTGTGGGTGGAAACCTGGACGTCAGTGGAAGCCGTGAGCCCTCCCCAACTCCACATCCCCACTCTGTGTAAGGCCATGTCCACCCTGTCAGGGACAGGACACCTCTGTGGTCTCCTTCACTCCATCTCCATCCTCATCTTGCTTCCCCACACTCCACCAGCTCCACCTTCCATGGAACCCGTCTCCTCGGCCCTCCCAGCCTTTGCTGACCCCTGAGGGCCACTCGCCCACTGGTCTGGTGGTACTTCCTCTCCTCTCCAACAAACTCTCACGTTAAATTCTCAAGATTAAACTACCTGGAGGGGCGTGTTTGCCTGGTTTGTTGAACCAGCTTTGATTCTTCTGATGCAGTAGGAATAACCGATCCCATTTCACAGAGCAAGAAACTGAGGCTGGGAACATCTAGGTGACTTACCCAAGGTCACATGATGAGGTAAGGTCTGATTGGTGTGACCTCATCTTCCCCATGATGCTTTAATGCCTGGTGTCAGGCTGTGCCTGTCTCTCTCTGTCTCCTTCCTTCTCTCCGTCTCCTTCCTTCTCTCCTTCCTCCTTTCCTTCCTTTCTCTTTTTTCTTTCCTTCCTTTATTCCATCCCTTCTTTCCTCATTCCTTCTCTTGTTCACTTCCTCTCTCTCTTTTTTTTTTTTTTTGTTTTCTTTTGAGACGGAGTCTCACTCTTGTCACCCAGGCTGGAGTGCAGTGGCACAATCTTGGCTCCCAGCAAACTCTGCCTCCCAGATTCAAGCGATTCTTCTGTCTCAGCCTGCCGAGTAGGTGGGATTACAGGTGCCTGCTACCATGCCTGGCTAATTTTTGTATTTTTTTCGTGGACAGGGTTTCACCGTGTTGGTCAGGCTGGTTTTGAACTCCTGACCTCAGGTGATCTGCCTCCCTCAGCTTCCCAAAGTGCTGGGATGATAGGTGAGGGCCACCGTGCCTGGCCCCTCCTTCCTTTCTTTTTTCTATGTCTTTCCTTCTTTCCTTCCCTCCCTCCTCCCTACCCTCCTCCCTCCCTCTTTCCTTCCTTTCCCTCATTTTTTCCTTTCCCTCCTTTGCTTTTATTATTGTGGTAAAATACACATAACATGAACTTTACCGTTTTAACTAGTTAATGCACAGCTTGGCGGCATTAAGCACATCCACATCGCTGTGCAACTGTCACCACCATCGGTCCCCAGAACATTTTAATCTTCCCAAATGGAAACCCTGTCCCCATCAAATACTCACCCCCCATTTTCCCCTCCAACCCCAGCCCCCGGCAGCCACCGTTTCACTTTCTGTGTCTGTGAGTTTGACGCCTCCGGGGACCGCACGGAAGAGGAATCGTGTGTTGTTTGTCCCCGTGTGTCTGCTTTATTTCACTCGGGGTAATGTCCTCAAGGCTCTTCCGTGTTGCAGCGTGTGTCAGAATTTTCTGCCTTCTGATTCATTTCTTCAAAGCAAAGCACATCTTCCTGTTTCTATAGTATCATTTATACTGCTATTGACGGCGGCATCCCAAGGCGGGGTGTGGGGAGCGGCCCTCCCCAGCAGCGGGGAGCATTTATCATTGACATTGTTGATCATTTACAGGGTAGGGCAGTCATGAAAGGGAGCTGATTTCTATTTGAATTTTATTGTTGTTTTTAAATCCTCTGTAGTTGATCTACTTGTTGCCACAGCCCTGGCCAGCTGCTCCTACTGTCCCCCAGGTTGGCACGTCACTGGTCATTCATGTATAAATACATATTTATTTCGTTATTAATATAAGAAGGATTTTTTGAAAACCCCCAATTGTAGAGTTGACGGCACACTTCCCTCAGGGGATTCAGGAAAGATTTTGCGCTTGAGGTCAGTCTTCGGGAATCCACTGGCTCCGACGAACGCAGCTGTCGGCACGCCTGGCCTCTGCGTGTGTCTGTGTGTGTGCTGCGCGTCTCTCTATGTGTGTCTATATGTGTGTGTCTGTGTGTGCTGTGTGTTTCTGTCTGTATTTATGTGTATGTCTATGTGTATGTGTGTCTGTGTGTGACTATGTGTCTGTGTGTACCTGTATGTCTGTGTTTGTGAATGCCTGTGTATGCCTGTGTATGTCCGTGTGTGTCTCTTTGTGTTTGTGTGTATGTCTAGGTGTGTGTTTCTGTGTGTGTGTCTATGTGTCTGTGTGTCTCTATGTGTGTCTCTGTGTGTGTCTGTATGTGTGTATGTCTGTGTGTGTCTATGTCTCTGTGTGTCTTCCTGACACGTGTCTGTGTGTGTGTCCGTGTGTGTCTGTATGTGTCTGTGCGTGTGTCTGTGCGTCTGCATGTGTCCGTTTGTGTATGTGTCTATGTGTGTCTGTGTGTGTCTGTGTGTGTCTTTGTGCCTTTGTGTATCTGTGTGTCTATGTGTCTGTGTGTGTCTGTGTCTGTGTGTTTATGTGTGTGTCTGTGTGCGTATATGTCTATGTGTGTGTCTGTGTGTGTGTCTGTGTGTATCTGTGTGTATGTTTGTGTGTATGTCTGTGTGTCTGTGTCTGTGTGTGTATATGTCTATGTGTGTGTGTGTCTGTGTGTCTGCGTGTATGTCTGTGTGTCTGCGTGTCTGTGTGTATATGTCTGTGTGTATGTCTGAGTGTGTCTGTGTGTATATGTCTATATGTGTGTCTGTGTGTGTGTGTCTGTGTGTATATGTCTATATGTGTGTCTGTGTGTGTATATGTCTGTGTCTGTGTGTGTCTGTGTGTGTGCATCTGTGTGTCTGTGTGTATCTTTGTGTTTGTGTGTATCTGTGTGTGTCCGTGTGTGTCTGTGTGTGTCTGTGTGTCTGTGTGTGTGTCTGTGTGTCTGTGTGTGTGTCTCTGTGTGTGTCTGTGTGTCTGTGTCTGTGTGTGTCTCTGTGTGTGTCTGTGTATGTCTGTGTCTGTGTGTGTCTGTGTGTGTGTCTCTGTGTGTGTCTGTGTGTCTCTGTGTGTGCCTGTGTGTCTGTGTGTGTCTCTGTGTGTGTCTGTGTGTCTGTCTCTGTGTGTGTCTCTGTGTGTGTGTCTGTGTATGTTTGTGTCTGTGTGTCTGTGTGTGTGTCTGTGTGTGTCTGTGTGTCTGTGTGTGTCTGTGTCTGTGTGTGTCTCTGTGTGTGTCTGTGTGTGTCTCTGTGTGTGTCTGTGTGTCTGTGTCTGTGTGTGTGTGTCTGTCTGCGTGTGTGTGTGTTTCTGTATATGTGTCTGTATGTCTGTGTGTGTGTTCATGCACAAGTGTCAGGACGTCCCCAGGTGAGGGGACCTCCCCTCGTCCGGATGCCGACCCCTTGTAGCGGCGCTGAGGTTCCTGGTAGACTTTGTTTAGCACAGGGCTGGGGGTGAGGAGGAAAAGGGGTGTTAAGGGAAGAAAAAGGAGGCACGGGGAGAAAAGGCAGCAAAGGGAAACCAAAGGCTCCGCCGTAACATTTTTTGTAGAGATAGAGACTATGTTGCATGGACTGGTCTTGAACTCTTGGGCTCTAGCAATCCTCCTGCCTCAGCCTCACACATCGCCAGAACTACTAGCGCATGCCACTAGGTCTGGCTAATTTTTAAATTTTTTGCAGAGATGGGGTCTTGCTATGTTCCCCAGGCTGGTCTCAAATTCCTGGGCTCAAGCAATCCTTCTGCCTCAGCCTCCCAAAGTGCTGGGATTATAGGTGTGAGTCACCACACCCAGCTTATTTTTAAATTTTTTGTAGAGATGGGGTCTCACTATGGTGCCCAGGCTGGTCTTAAACTCCTGAGCTCAAGCAATCCTCCTGCCTCAGCCTCCCAAAGCTCTGGGATTGCAAGCATGAGCCACAACACCGGGTGTGTTCACCTTTTCATTAATTCAACCTTGTCTTAGACAAATGTGGTGGCACTGAGGATAAAATGGGGGGACAGAGCACCCCCTTCCCTCCCACGGGGCTTATGATCTGCCAGATCAGACCATAACCAGCCTACAATGGAGGAAGCTCACAGGAATCTGGGGGTTCCACGTGGAGCTTTTTGCCCAGTCCCAGGGAGAGATGATGGGGAGGAGAGAGAAGTGGTCCCCTTCTTATAAAGCACCCTGGTTCGCACTCTAAGAGAATGAAAATTGGGCTGGGCACAGTGGCTCACACCTGTAATCCCAGCACTTTAGGAGGTCAAGGCAGGTGGATCATCTGAGGTCAGGAGTTTGAGATCAGACTGGCCAACATAGTGAAACTCCATCTCTACTAAAAATACAAAATTAGCCGGGAGCGGTGGTGAACGCCTGTAGTCCCAGCTACTCAGGAGGCTGAGGCAGGAGATTCACTTGAACCAAGGAGGCGGAGGTTGCAATGAGCAGAGATCGCTCCACTGCACTCCAGCCTGGGTGACAGAGCGAGACGAAATAAAGGAAAGAAAGAAAGGAAAATTGGAGCACTTGTAAACCAGGCTTCCCGGGTTGCGATGACAGTGACGGGGCCTGGCTTCTATCACTCCAGGCCATTCCACTCTGTCCTGTCATCTGTGGAGAATAAATGAGACTGAGAAGGTGGATGAGGCAGAATTGATTTTCTTGCCCAAACTGACTTCACAGAGCATCATAATAAAAAGACGGGTCATTTACAATCCTGCTGTTCTCCTGAAGCTTTTCAGCCTTGAATAAGATGAACAATCCAGGGCTCCTGCTCCCCAGCCCTGGGGCTGCGGCCTGCCCTAGAGGGGCAGGGAAGGAGGAGAGGGACATGGGCAGAAGCATGGCCAGGTGTCACATGGCCTCAGTGAGCGCCAGCACTTACCATGTCCCAGGAGAATGGGTTTTCTCTGTTTTTTTAAATCTTGTTTTCAGACAGGGTCTTGCTCTGTTGCCCAGGCTGGAGTGCAGTGGTGCAATCACAGCTCACTGCAGCCTCCACATCCTGGGCTCAAGTGATCCTCCCACTTCAGCCTCCTGAGTAGCTGGGACCACTGGCACATGCCACCACACCCACTTAATTTTTGTATTTTTTGTAGAGATTGGGTTTTGCTTTCTTTCCCGGGCTGGTCTTGAACTCCTGGGCTCAAGTGATCCTCCCACCTTTGCCTTCCAAAGTGCTGGGAATACAGGCCTGAGCCACTGAGCCTGGCCTAAATACTTCTTGACAAAGAGAAATGATGGATGAAGGGGGGGAAAGGAGAGGGAAGAAGGGGGATGAACAATCAGAAAGATTTTTGAAATATTTTCAAGATAATAAAATAAAAATGTCACTTTAGCGCCAAATAAAATCAAATTGAGATATAAATCCAAACACAGTATAAAAAAAGAAAGAAATACAGCTGGACCCCTGGAGAAACCTGTCTTCAGCAGCCTGGACTGCCATATATCATATTTCTGGGATCCCACAGAATTCACATTTATTAGGTGCTGGGTGCAGTGGCTCATGCCTGTAATCCCAGCACTTTGGGAGGCTGAGGTGGGTGGATCACCTGAGGTCAGGAGTTCGAGACCAGCCTGGCCAACATGGCGAAACCCAGTCTCTATTAAAAATACAAAAAGTAGCCAGGCGTGGTGGCGGGGGCCTGTAATACCAGCTACTCTAGAGGCTGAGACAGGAGAATCGCTTGAACCCAGGAGGCAGATGTTGCACTGAGCCGAGATCTCGCCACTGCACTCCACCCTGAGTGACAGAGCGAGACTCTGTCTCACATAAACAAACAAAAAAGAATTCACATTTATTAGGAAATCTCCAGTTGGCTTGGAAATAGAAGTTCTTCAAGCTGGGCTGACTTTTTTTTTTTTAAGAGTCTGAGTCTCATGCTGTCACCCAGGCTGGAGTGCAGTGGCACAATCTCAGCTCACTGCAACCTCTGCCTCCCGGGCTCAAACCATCCTCCCTCCTCAGCCTCCTGAGTAGCTGGTACTATAGGCACACACCACCACATCCAGCTAATTGCAATTTTTTTTTTTTTTTGTAGAGATGGGGTTTTGCCATGTTGGCCAGGGTGGTCTCAAACTCCTGGCCTCAAGCAATCTGCCTGCCTCACCTCCCAAAATGGTGGGATTATAAGCATGAGCCACAGCATCTGGCCTGGGCTGACTCTAGGGAACTCTTTGTCCAGGTCGCAGTTTCATCTCTGCCCCACTTCGGGAGTGTCGTGCTCAGAGGAGCCTGTCCCAGGTCCCATCTTCCATTTCGGAGTCTGCAAGGAAGGTTTCGGCAACAGCCTGCTCAGGCTCTCCCCTCCCTGCGATGACCCCACAGAATTCCAAGGGTCTCTGGAGCAAAAGGGGCTATTTCTGGGCCCAGGCTCCGTGTCCATGTTTGGTCTTCAAGGAGCACGTGGTGAACCTGCCAAGGCTTCATCCCGTCACCCTCTTGGGAGGGCACAGATCTCCTTCCTCCTCCAAGGCCTCAACAAACAACAGCTGGGAATGCGGCTTCCAAAGCTGGCTGGAAAGGACTCCCCTCACCCCTCACTACCCCAAGGCGAGGGCCCAAAGGGAGCCTCTTGACATTGATTGGGATTTATTTCCTCCTTTTCATCAAGAATAATTTCAAGCCTAGGCAACATAGTGAGACCCCGTCTGTACAAAAAAAAATTTTTTTTTAATTAGCCAGGCATGGTGGTGCACACCTGCAGTCCCAGCTACTCAGGAGGCTGAAACGGGAGGATCGCTTGAGCCTGGGAGGTAAAGGCTACAGTGAGTTGTGACCATGCCACTGCACTCCAGCCTGGGAGACAAAGGGAGACCTTGTCTCAAAAATAATACTAATTATGATTTCAGATTAAAAACAGTCATTCTCATTCACTAAAAAAAAAACTTCAGGCAACACTTATAAATGTAAAGAAGGTTTAAAAAAATCACCTGGGCCGGGCGCGGTGGCTCATGCCTGTAATCCCAGCACTTTGGGAGGCCGAGGCGGGTGGATCACGAGGTCAGGAAATTGAGACCATCCTGGCTAACACGGTGAAACTCCGTCTCTACTAAAAATACAAAAAATTAGCCGGGCGAGGTGGCGGGTGCCTGTAGTCCCAGCTACTCGGGAGGCTGAGGCAGGAGAATGGCGTGAACCCGGGAGGCGGAGCTTGCAGTGAGCCGAGATAGCGCCACCGCACTCCAGCCTGGGGGACAGAGTGAGACTCCGTCTCAAAAAAAAAAAAAAAAATCACCTGAAATCCCACCACCCAGATAAACTCACCGTGATCTGATCTGATCTTATCTTGGTGATCAGAGAAGCACCTATTTTGCAAAAAAGGGGTTAAGCTGTTCTAGAACCTTAAAAATATATATACATTTACATCCTCAGTTTTTTAAATATTCCATTGTATGGGCTGGGCATGGTGGCTCACACCTGTAATCCTAGCACTTTGGGAGGCCAAGGCAGGGGGATCACTTGAGCCCAGGGGTTTGAGACCACGTCACTACAAAAAAAAAAAATTAGCTGGGTATGGTGGCACGTGCCTGTAGTCCCAGCTACTTGGGAGGCTGAGGTGGCAGGATGGCTTGAGCCCAGGAGGTTGAGGCTGCAGTGAGCTTTGATCGTACCACTGCACTCCAGCCTGGGTGACAGAGTAAGACCCTGTCTCAAAAAAAAAGAAGAGAGAGAGAGAAGAAAAGAAAGAGGAGAGGGAGAGGGAGGGAAAGAGGAAGGAAGGGAGGGAGGGAGGGAGGGAGGAAGGAAGGAAGGAAGGAAGGAAGGAAGGAAGGAAGGAAGGAAGGAAGGAAGGAAGGGCGGGCACGGTGGCTCACGCCTGTAATCCCAGCACTTTGGGAGGCCAAGGCAGGCAGATCACGAGGTCAGATGGAGACCAGCCTGGCTAACATAGTGACACCCCGTTTCTACTAAAAATACAAAAAAATTAGCCAGGCATGGTGGCAGGCGCCTGTAGTCCCAGCTACTTGGGAGGCTGAAACAGGAGAATGTCACGAACCCGGCAGGAGGAGCTCGCAGTGAGCCAAGATCGCACCACTGCTCTCCAGCCTGGATGACAGAGCGAGACCCCATCTCAAAAAAAAAAAAAAAAAGAAAGAAAGAGAAAGAGGGAGGAAGGGGAAAAAAAGGAAGGAAGGAAAGCAAGCAAGAAAGCAAGCAGGAAAGAAAGGAGGAAGGAAGGAAGGGAGGGAGGGAGCGAGGGAGGGAGGGGAGGGAGGGAGCGGGGGAGGGAGGAAGGATGGAAATGTGGAGGCAAAGTGACTACTTACCCACAGCCATGCAGCTCATGGGGCATTTTGTGATGCTCACCTACCGTCACAGAACTCGACAAGAAACCAAGAAAAGAATGAAAGAGGAAAAGGGAGGGGAGAGATTGGAACTTAGGGGCCTATTTCCTAAATCTGGCTGTCTGGGGGGCAGGGACCAAGCCCTCTGCATGTGTCAAGTCCGGGGGTTTCTGGATGTGCATGCCAAGAACGTCTCCATCTCCACCACTCCCCAAATGGAGCACGGTGCTTGGGAGTCATCGTTCCCATCCCAGAGATCTGGCTATCATTCATTCAATAAATATGTCTTCATCATCTAATAGGTGCTAGGCACTTCACATATATGAACTCATTTAATTCTTCTAACAACGGGATTTAGGGCCAGGCGCAGCGACTCATGCCTGTAATCCAAGCGCCTTGGGAGGCCGAGGCAGGCAGATCACGAGGTCAGGAGTTCGACACCAGCCTGGCTAACACTGTGAAACCCTGTCTCTACTAAAAACACAAAAAATTAGCCAGCCATGGTGGCATGTGCCTGGTGTTCCAGCTACTCAGGAGGCTGAGGCAGGAGAATCGCTTGAACCCAGGAGGAGGAGGTTGCAGTGAGCCGAGATTGCGCCATTGCACTCCAACCTGGGTGACAAGAGTGAAACTGCATCTCAAAAAAAAAAAAAAAGAGAGAAACGGAGCCATGTCTCAGATGCTGACTCATTGTGTTATCTTTGGGCAAACTGCTTCACCCCTCCGAGCCCATTTGCTCACCTGCTGAAAAGAGACCATTACTCATCTGCCCCACCCGCCTGCCCAGGCTATTGGAAGGATCAAAATTAGATTTTGGACTCCGGGGACGTCTGTTTTTATTGTTGTGCCAATGCCAACCCATGACTCTGGGGAATTTTTTTCAGCCAGAGGATTTAAGCCCGCTTGATTTCTATAGAAAAACCCATTAAACTTTCTCCAGATACCATGAGCCAATGATTCCATCCAATGCGCTTCTTGCTGCATTTTTAAAGGCAGGGCACTCTGTGTGCCCACTCACTCTTGGGCAGTGCTAGCCACCTGAAAATTAACCTGAGGCCTTCCCCAAAGCAAACTCCCTCTTCCTTCTTTCTTTCTTTCTCTTTCTTTCTTTTCTTTCTTTCTTCTTTCTTTCTTTTCTTTCTTTCTCTTTTTCCTTCCTTCCTTCCTTCCTCTTTCTTTCCTTTCTTTCTCCTTCCTTCCCTCCTTCCTTCCTTCCTTCCCTCTCGCTCTTTTTCTTTCTTTCTTTCATCTGTTTATTTTGTTTTGAGATGGAGTCTGGCTCTGCCACCCAGGCTGGAGTGCAGTGCTGGCATCTCAGCTCACTGCAAGATCCACCTCCTGGGTTCAAGCGATTCTCCTGCCTCAGCCTCCTGAGTAGCTGGGATTACAGCACCCGCCACCACACCCGGCTAATTTTTGTATTTGTAGTAGAGATGGGGTTTCACCATGTTGGCCAGGCTGGTCTTGAGCTCCTGACTTCAGGTGATCCACCCGCCTTGGCCTTCCAAAGTGCTGGGATTACAGGCATGAGCCACAGCGCCTGGACTATTTTATTGTAGAGACAGAGTCTCACTCTGTCACCCAGGCTGGAAGTGCAGTAGTGTGAAGACGGCTCACTGTAGCCTCAAGCTCCCCTGCCTCAGCCTCCCGAGTAGCTGGGATTACAGGTGCCCGCCACCACGCCCAGCTTATTATTTTTTTATTTTTGTAGAGACAGAGTCTTGTTATATTGCCCAGGCTGGAGAAGCAACATTATCTGAGATGGAACTTTCTGGAATATTAACCATTAAACCTCCCCACCCTCATGAGAAGCTCAAACCACAAGAGACCAAGGGGCAGCTCTTGCTGCACGGGGCCAGGAGCTGATGGCTTCCTTTGCTCCAGATCCACCTGCCATCCTTTTCCACCCCATCCTGGGTCCAGGAGGCTGACCCCCCAGGTACCTGCCTGGGTTCCTACTTTCTGGCTCTGGTTGGGTTTGGCCACAGGAGATGCTGAGAGGAGATGGGTGCGCAGGAGGGGAGAGGTGAATGCACCCCCGGCCCTGCTGGGTCTGGTCGGGCGGCAGTTGCACTGTCCCCCTGGAGTTGCTCCGTGCCCCTGGGGGCCAACGCTTCTCCCACAGCCACATCCAGGGTGCAGGGGCTTCCCCTATGGCCTGAGCAGGCGGTGCTTTACTGTACCTATTGTCTTTCTTGAACTCTGCCCCACCTCAGTAAATTGTCTCTTCATTAAACCCTATGCAGTGAGGCCAGGCACCACGGCTCACGCCTGTAATCCCAGCACTTTGGGAGGCCAAGGCGGGCGGATTGCTTAAGCCCAGGAGTTCGAGACCAGCCTGGGCAACATAGCAAGATTGACCTCCATCTCTAAAGAAATAAAAATAAAAATAATCAGCCTGGGCCAGGCGCAGTGGTTCACGCTCGTAATCCCAGCACTTTGGGAGGCCGAGGCAAGTGGATGTGGATCATGAGGTCAGGAGTTCAACACCAGCCTGGCCAACACAGTGAAACCCCGTCTCTACTAAAAATACAAAAATTAGCTGGGTGTGGTGGCAGGCGATTGTCATCTCAGCTACTCAGGAGGCTGAGGCAGGAGAATCGCTTGAACCCAGGAGGCGGAGTTTGCAATGAGCTGAGATCACGCCGCTGCACTCCAGCCTGGGTGACAGAGCAAGACAAGACTCCGTCTCAAAAATAAAAAAATAATCAGCCTGGCATGGTGGTGCCTGCCTGTAGTCCCAGCTACTTGTGGGGCTGTGTGAGGCGGGAGGATCACTTGAGCTCAAGCGATTGAGGCTGCATTGAGCTATGATGGCACCACTACATTCCAGCCTGGGTGACAGAGCAAGACCCTGTCTCTCATAAACAGACAAATAAACAAACGCTCTGCAGTGGCCCCACTGGAGTGTGCTCTTTCCTGCTGGGACCTGGACTAGGACAGAAAGATAACCTCCTGCCAGAGAACAGACCTTCCCAAAATCACTGTGGGGCAGGGGGCCCGTTTCTTCTCACCAGCCTCTGCCCCCATCAGCCAGAGCGTGCTGATCACATGGGAATAAGCAAGAAGCACCTCGGGACCCAGGCTTGGGAGGGTGGCCCATAGATGGGATCCAGGCCCTGGCTGCCAGGTGACGGCTCCCACCAGCAGCCTCTCCCCAATCTCTGGACACTGCCCTGAAAGTGCCCAGGAGGGGATGGGATGGGGATCATCGTACGATTGCAAACAATTGAGCTTAAAGACTTATACAACACATAATCCTAATATCAGGTGGAGAAAAATGTAAATTTCACCTCAATTTTAACCTCGCCAGCTTTGCCCAGAGGAGCTCCACTTTTTCTCTTTACAAACCAGAACTCTGCACAAGAATCTGCCCGTTAAAAGCTTTGCTGCTAAAGATATTAAAAACAGACCTGGCCAGGCATGGAGGTTCACACCTGTAATCCCACCACTTTGGGAGGCTGAGACAGGAGGATCTCTTGAGGCCAGGAGTTCAAGATCAGTGTGGGCAACATAGTGACCGCCCCCCACATCTCTACAAAAAAAAAAATTAAAAAGTTAGTTGGGTGTGGTGGCATGCATGCCTGTAGTCCCAGCTACTTGGGAGGCTGAGGTGGGAGAATTGCTTGAGCCTGGGAGTTCAAGGCTGCAGTGAGCCACGATTGCACCACTGCCCTCCAGCCTGGGCAACAGAGCAAGACTCTGTCTCAAAAATTGAATTTAGTTTAATTTTAAAATAATAAAAAAATAAAAACAAACATGTCAGGTGGTCAGATTTGGGGGAATGACATATCCGAAGGCAAAGCTCTGGGCTTCCCATGCCCACAGACTGGCAGCATCCATGTTTGGAAGACCTCCAAGCCAAAATCTTATTTCAATTTTAGGGAATCTGAGGCCCAGCGTGGGAGAAGTGAGGTTCATCCTCTATTGTGAAGTATTCTGACAGAGCCAGTGTTGGTTGATGTTATGGTTGCTACTTTTTTTTTTTTTTTGAGACAAAGTCTCGCTCTGTTGCTCAGGCTGGAGTGCAATGGTGCGATCTTGACTCACTGCAACCTCTCCCTCCCCGGTTCAAGCAATTCTCCTGCCTCAGCTTCCCGAGTAGCTGAGATTACAGGCGCGCACCACCATGACCAGCTAATTTTTGTATTTTTAGTAGAGATGGGGTTTCACCATGTTGGCCAAGCTGGTCTCGAACTCCTGACCTCAGGTGATCCACCTGCCTTGGCCTCCCAAAGTGCTGGGATTACAGGCGTGAGCCACCACATCCAACTCATGGTTGCTTATTAATACGATTCTTCATTGCTGGATTCCAGTTGTGAAAACACAATAATACATTTGTAAATGGATTGTTGTCAGGGTCAGATGATAATAGGAAGCATTTGAAAACATCTATATGAACTTAATAAAAGGTTCTCTGGGTTCAAAATAGCTGCTTTTCAAACCTAGAGAGATTTAAAAAAGGAAATCAGCTTTGTGCTCAGGTAGGTTCCTTTCTCTCTTAAGAATGAATTGGGGGATCAACAACCCGAATATAAAAGCTAAAACCGGACAACGCTTAGAGGAAAACACAGGGGCAAATTTTCAAGACCTCGAATGTGGCGATGGTTTTTTTGTTTTTGTTTTTGTTTTTTTATTATACTTTAAGTTTTAGGGTACATGTGCACATTGTGCAGGTTAGTTACATATGTATACATGTGCCGTGCTGGTCCTTTGCAGGGACATGGATGAAATTGGAAATCATCATTCTCAGTAAACTATCACAAGAACAAAAAACCAAACATCGCATATTCTCACTCATAGGTGGGAACTGAACAATGAGATCACATGGACACAGGAAGGGGAATATCACACTCTGGGGACTGTGGTGGGGTGGGGGGAGGGGGGAGGGATAGCATTGGGAGATATACCTAA